>NC_000004.12:156497138-156800168 GCF_000001405.40 Homo sapiens
TTCTCAAGTGTTGCTGTAAGGCTGGAGATTGTCAGTTATAAAATTCATAGGTTGTTGGTAACATAAGCTGAATATCTCCAATTTATTTAAAAACAACTACTATACAAGATTCTGAGTCAGCCAGATTTTCAAATTCAAAACCATGTCCAACTTACGTTTGCATTTTTAATGTGTTATTATTTTCCACTGCCCTGCAAACCCTTTTACTCTAGTTCAACATCTATTCGAAGACTGTGAAACGCAGGAGATGTTACAAACATATTCACATATAAAGAGTCTCACATTGGCCATCTAATTAAAACCTTAGGCCAAATATTAGAGGCAACAGATAGATAATGAAGTCAAACTTTGTAAGAGACGTTATAAACAAAATTACTTCTGGTTTCCCTTGCACTTTCAATCATGTAACGCAATTAGTCTTAGTCTGTTTTGTGCTGCTATAACAGAACACCAGAAACTGTGTAACATATAAAGAACAAGTATTTATTGCTTACAGCTCTGGAGCGTGAGAAGTCCAAGATCAAGGCGCCATCTGGTTTACCATCTGTTGAGGGTCCGGTATCTGTTTCCAAGATGAAAGCTTAAATGCTGCATCTTCCAGAGGGAAGAAACACCAGGTCTTCAGATGGCAGAAGGCAGAAGGGAAAAAATAATGTCAAACTCCGTCCATCAAATTATTTTATAAGAGCACCTAATCCCATTCATAAGAGAGGAGACTTCCTGGCTCAATCACCTCTCAAAGGCCATGCTTCCCAATACTGTTACATTTGGGATTAAGTTTCAACATGAATATTTAAAGGGAACAAAACATTCAAGTATAGCCACAGTTTACCACTTAATTATCCTTTAATTGCTTCTAGTGAATAATTAATATTGTCCCCAATTGTTTTCTGTGGTCCTTAAGGGCAAGCAGCTTTAGTAATATTAAGGATCCTATCAGTATTAGGAAGCTAATGAGTATTCCCTAAGTACTTCTGAGTGACTCTTGATTACTGGAATACACTTATTTTTCAATATCTAAAATGACTTCCCAGTACAAACCAAACATCATCTGGGTCACAATTCACCTTAAATATAAAGATATCATTGACAAAATGGATTGAATCTCCAGTGCTTGGTTTTTAGGAAATTTCACCTCCAGAGACTTACAGTGTGAGTGTGATAACTTCTGACACCAGCACTCCTATTTCAGATATTACTATGATTTGAATTACTTAGATCCCATGAAAACTGACCCTTTTCTTTTCTTTTCTTTTCCTTTTCTTTTCTTTTTTTTTTTGAGACGGAGTCTAACTCTGTTGCCCAGGCTGGAGTGCAGTGGCACGATCTCAGCTCACTGCAAGCTCCCATTCCCGGGTTCAAGCGATTCTCCTGCCTCAGCCTCCAGAGTAGCTGGGACTACAGGTGTCCACCACCATGCCTGGCTAATTTTTTCTATACCAAGGAAACTTAAATATAGAATTTAGATCTTTTATTTGATTCACAAATACATAAATACACAAAGTCTATGCATAAATAGAAGACTCTATTAAAATATAAAAGTGGGGGATGAGTTGGACTGCAACAGTCCAAACTACTTGCAACTTAAACCTAATTGCTCCTCTTCCAAAAATTCATTTGGCCCTCACTGTAAGTAGTGCTCAAGCCATCTAATTTTCTTTTTAGTTCCTTTTTCTCTCTGCTATGCTGTCTCCTGAATTCTTATTTCCTAAGATAATATCCTTATATATCCTATGGTATTATTCCTAGAGCTACAACTTTTTAATATTCTATGATTAGGAGAAATTAAGCTCTCCAAGTTGAAGTTGAAAAGTAATGTCCAGGAGCTTAGCTGCATAGACACTAAAATCTTCAGACAGTTTTACCTAGCAATCTATTTTTCTTGTCTATTCCAGAATTTCCTTCATTATCAAAAGTTCCAATTGCTAGGAGAAATGCAGGGGAAATGTTTGGAATATTTCTTAATGTTATAAGAGATATCACTAGACTTTAAGAATATCTTTCTAATCTTAAAAAATTAAAGAATCACAAGATCAGATGCAAAATCACAGATTATATAATATCCCTCAGAACCTGTTCATAATAATCTAAAGGAAAGGATAATTCAGGAGCGTCCAGGACAGCCTCTGCTATAAGAGAAGGGAAATGAGAACCAACATTTCTTGAGCATACCCAGTGTTCCAGGCTTCATCTTTCACAATGAGGGTGAGGAACAACTGAAAAGATCAAATATGTGAATCTTAGTGCAGCAAAAATTCAAACAAAGTCAGGATGATGAGATGTATGAATTTCTCAGCCAGTAATCACTCAGTATTTATTCAGGAGCCAGTTTTATACTATTACATGTTTCCCTTAAACTATTTTGTTAGGTATATCCTGCTGCTATATAACCAAATTTGAAGTGAGTTGTGATAAAATAAAAAATAAAATCAGAGGCCTGGAAATTTAACTAGATGAAGGCAAAGTTAACCAGAAGAAACACAGAAATATAAGTCAGAGGGTGCTCTAAAATAACAAAATATTGATACAAAATTGGCACTGAGCCTTTTGGCTAGAACAGTAAAAAGTCAATTAGTTAAAAAATTCACATTTTGCATTATTAACATATGAATCAGATGCATGAGAGAAATAAAGATTTTCTTTCATTTATTTCTATAAAATTTTGATGATTAATGTAGTGGATAGCCATTCAAAAAAATTCTGACTAACAACGCAAGAGCAGCGTGTGCATATAAATACTTTATGTACTTCAATGAATAAGAATGCAACTCACTAGCATAAATTCAATAGAAGAACTAAGAAATCAGCCTAAAATATGCAGCCACCTGTTGCCAAAATAATCAAGAATAAAATGAATAAAATAAATGTCCTTTAAAATATCCTTCCTTTATAACCAGTCTTGGTAGAAGATGGTTTTTGAATGACTTCAAAGACACAATCTCTAGCAAGAATTTAAAATTTAGGTATTGACTCTACCTTATAAGGACAGAGGCATATGATTTTCATGCACGTGAATGCATTTGGAAAGATATAATACGAAGTGTCAATAATGTTTGTCCAAGGAAGTATAATTGTAAATATATTGTGTTTTGTATTTTTTTGTTCTAATTTCTTTAAGATTTAATGTGAAGAGGATTATCTACAGGTATGCCAGAGACCCCTCACCTTGTTCTGACTGTTTGAGACTTTCATCACTCCTTAATAAGGTATCATCAACACAGATATCAATTATGTTGATAACATGTAGCTGCATGCTACAGACAAGTGCACTCTCCATGCTGTAGCCACATGCATTCGATATTTCAGAGGAGCCAAAAATACTTGGCTCAGCTTAGTGGTGGGCCACAGTTAACAAACAAACAAACAAACAATAAAGGTAAGCATACAGAAATGCACCAAGGTAGGGAAAAAAAATAGTAAAAATTAAAGATTATGATGTCCCTACATAAGAGCAATATTTACTTTAAAAAAACTGAAGAAAAGTAAAAGGTCTGTGGGGTTTAATCGATTATAAGGTCAAAATGAGTCAACAGTGTAGAACAATAGCCAAAAATGTTACTGTAAGTATGACCTACACACAGCACATTCAGAACAAAAGAAATGAGCACCCTGCTGTATTCTACAACTAGCATACTGCAAATGGAGTACTGACTCCTGGTTAGGGGTCTACAATTTGAAGGACAATCTGGAGAGAGTCCATTGAGTAAATAACCAACATATTAATAAAAGAAAGCTAAGGCTGGTCACTGTGGCCCATGCCTGTAATCCCAGCACTTTGGGAGGCTGAGGCAAGCAGATCACGAAGCCAGGAGTTCAAGACCAGCCTGGCAAACATGGTGAAACCCCATTTCTACTAAAAGTACAAAAATTAGCCAGGCATGGTGGTGTGCATCTGTAATCCCAGCTACTCAGAAGGCTGAGGCAGGAGAATTGCTTGAACCCAGGAGGTGGAGGTTGCAGTGAACTGAGATTGCACGATTGCACTCCAGCCTGGGCGACAAGAGTAAGACTCTGTAAAAAAAAAAAAAAAAAAAAAAAAAAGCAAAGCAAAGAAAAGAAAGCTAAGTAGGTATTGGCATTAGAAATTTTAAGTCTGAAGATGTGAAAATTTAGGGACTGGGAAAAATGATCAGATTTTCAAACATGAGAAAGGAGGGCATGACGAAAAGGGGCACATAGTCTTACTCTACTTAACCCAAACATAGCGCACCTAGGCAGTGATAATACATGTTGTCTCAATGAAAGAAGACCTTTGTCCTCTGATTTTAGTTAGGTTTCATGACAGTTTATGTCTTTGTTTTTTCACTTTCCACTATTTTCAAACTGTTTAGTCTGGTATTTATCCTCATTACTATACCAAACCAGTTCTTGAGAAGATCTGCATGTTAATCAATATTTCAGAAGTTATTATCCTCCATTTCAACAATGTTCGACAGTGTCATTCACTTCCTTTTTCTTGATGCATCTGCTTTCCTTAACTTCCATGAAACCATACTAACCTAATTTTCCTCCAAGCCCTCCAGTTACTGTGTAACTGTTTTGAATCTTATTCTCCCACAATATTCAAGTTAAGAACCTCTTTCTTCTTATCATTCTATATTCTCCCCTTAAGTGACAAGAAGAGATCTCACAAATTTAAATATAGATCACATACCTCTCTTCTGAATTCCAGATCAATATATGTTAACTGCCTACATGAAGTCTCCTACTGTTTCTCTTAAAGATACCTCAAACATTACATATCCAAAACTAGACTAGGATTCCCTCCTCCCTTCCTCCCACCCGAAAATCTTGCTATTCCTCTAGTATTCCCTGAGTGAATAGCAACACCAACAACTCTATTATACAAGCTAATACCTTTTGTATAGCCTTGAAACTCCCTCTTCCTCTCCACTCATGATCAATTCCTTACCATGTTCTATAGATTTAATTTCCAATTATTTTGGAAATAATTTCACTTGTTATCACCTCACCAGCACTCTAGGACAAGTCACCACCATGACTCATCCATACTTTTAAAAATGTTAGCTTCCCAGCAGGTCTACTATGATTCTCTGCATCCACTCATTATGCCACCCATTTTGAATCATTCATGTTTGTATTCCTTTTCTGTTGCTCCCAAACACATTACCACAAAGATGGAAGCTTCAAACAATGCTCTTCTATTAATTCATAGTTTCTCTGGGTTAAAAGTGTGGCCAAAGGAAGGTTCAGCTTGCTCCTCTATTCTAGGTCCACACAATCAAAATCAAGGTGTAGACATGGCTTTGGGGAAGAACCTGTTTCCAGTCTCACTCAGGTTGTTGAACTAAGTTAGTTTCTCTGATTGAAGGACTGAGGTCTCTGTTTCCTTGCTGACTCTCCCCCAAGGGCCACCTTTAGCTCCTTGAAGTCTCAGTACATTCCTTCATGTGGACTCCTACATCTCAGAACCAAGTGTCAATCCCTACTCCCTGGTGGAACCTCTGACTTTCCCTTCTGCTGTATCTGTCTGCCTCCAGTCAAGGAAAGTTATGCACTTAAAGCTCTTGTGATTAGATTGAATGTACCGATATAATCCAAGATAATATCTCTATTTTAAGGCCCATAACCTTAACTATATCTGCAAAGTCTCTTCTGCCATCTAACATAGCATATACATAGGTGCCAGGGGTTAGAACATGGACATTTCTAGGGGGCCATTCCACCTACCAAAATGGTCCATTCAATGTTTCCAGTCTAGACCAATTATGAGGACTGAAATAAAGATGTCAGAACAGTTTTGTGAACTTTGTCTGACATGTATCTTGACTCATAAAGACAAATCTCCTTGACAGAGTCAACACAGCTCTGTAATATATGAACTAAATTTACTTCTCCAACCTCAACTGATACAATGTTCTTGTCATTTTCCTGAGCCCAGCTACTACTGGTTTTCTTGCAGAATCTCACACTTTCTAGGCTTCTGCGCTTCATGAGGATGTTGTGCATACTAATTTCTCTTCCTAGAAAATCTTCCCATCACTTTTTTTTTCCTCAGGTAACTTTTACTTTTCCTTCCGTTCTTACCTCGAGCCAGATTTCCTGACTAAGTCTAAATTCTATTTGTAGCCCTGTGTGCCAACTCTTTGTAATCTGTCACATTTACAAGTTTACATTAGTCTGTGATTATTTAACTATCATGTCTCCTCAGTCAACAGCACCATGTGGCAGGGGGAATTTCCTGTGTGTATGCACCTCAGTGTCGCCAGTGACTGGCAAAGTGCTTGTCACCTGAGAGATGATCAATAGACATTCTTTCAGTTAATGTTCTGTGAAGAGTAACAAGTAAAATTGCTCCATCACAGAATGGCTAAATTGACATTCATAAATTTCCTGTAATGGATTTTTCATTAATAACATATTTCAATATCATATCATAATGATATCATATTACATGTCTATTTTAATATCATATTGCATATACAATAATAAGGTGCCATTAGTCCTATAAATCTTAGACTATACCTTGACCATAGTCAGTTTTAGTTTTGCCTTATAATATTTAAATGGGTTTTTTTGTTTATTTTTCAACTGAAGAACCAAGAAAACAGGTGCTAATCATTGCAACATTACAAAGGAGGTGCTAGACCACGTATGAGGACTGAAATAGAGATGTCAGAACAGTTTTGTGAACTTTGTCTGACATGTGTCTTCAAGTTATACAGCAAAGACTGAGGATTCAGCCAGGAAATTGAAGAAAAGATATTTACACAGAGAATTGCTCTTAGGTCCTCTCCCCTACCCACTGTCCCACTGGGAGTGAGAAGGGCAGAGGATTCACTGGGAGAACTTCAGTGGCTTCACTCAGATAATTTAACATGTGTCTTCTGGAATTTGGGGAACATAGTGGAGAGCTGTCTTACCAAACTTTCAGGAAGCCAAACGGTAAAACAGCTGATTAAAGTGATAAAACCAGTGGAATAGGGGCCAGAGCTGGGAAGTCGACTGCAATCTCACAGAGAGCCACAGAGCCCTGGAGAGCAAGCAGACTGCACCAGAAAGGTACACAACTGAGCCCACAGGATGAGAGGGAACACAAGGCCCAGGTGAAGGAGAGGCTTTTACTTGTGTCCAGAAATTTTCAGAGATCCTCCATGATGGGGGAATCTCCAAGTGCCCATGTGAAAGCCAACCAGCAAGAGAGCCAAAATTATACTGAGTCAGGAAAAGTTGAAAGCATTCTCCCTGAAAACTGGAACAAGACAAGGATGCCCACTTTCCTCACTTCTATTCAACATGGTTGTGGAGTCCTAGCCAGAGCAATCAGACAAGAGAAAAAAATAAAGGGCATTTAAGTCAGTAAAGAGGAAGTCAAACTATTGCTGTTCACCAATGGTATAATCCTATACCTAGAAAACCCTAATGATTCATCCAAAAACCTCCTCGATCTGATAAAGGAATTCAGTGAAGTTTCGGGATACATAACCAATGTACACAAATCAGTAGCACTGCTATACACTAATAACAACTAAGCTGAGGATCAAAGCAAGAACTCAATCCCTTTTATAACAACTCTAAAAGAATAAAACAAAATACTTAAGAATATACCTAACCCAGATGGTGAAAGATCTCTACAAGGAAAACTACAAAACACTGCTAAAAGAAATCATAGACAACACAACCAAATGGAAACACATCCCATGCTTATGGATGGGTAGAATAAATATTGTGAAAGTGACCATACTGCCAAAGCAATCTACAAATTCAATGCAATTCCCATCAAAATCCCATCATCATTCTTCACAGAACTAGAAAAAACAATACGAAAATTCATATAGAACCAAAAAAGAGCCTGCATAGCCAAAGCAAGACTAAGTAAAAAGAACACATCTGGAGGCATCACATTACCTGATTGCAAACTGTACTACAAGGCTATAGTTACTCATATTCATGTGAGCATTTCTAAAACACTGCAATAAGGTTATAAAGTATATGCATGTTGATATAAATGTTCAGTTTCCAAGTACAAAACAAATGCAAATGTGCTAATTTTTTTTTTGCTTAGTTTCAGTATTTGCTAAGAAAAGCATAAATCAAAGACAAAGTTCATATGGCATTTAACTCTTGCTTTTGTGTTAGGACATAAAAACACCTTAATAACGTGATGAAAGTAAGTATCTGACATCCTGGTGTTTATTTCCTTAAGAAATATGTCTGGGGTGGGGGGTGGGGCAAGAGGGCTGACTAGAAACAGCGGAGTTTGAAGGCGCCCATTGAAAAGAACCATAATAAGCATGTGACTCATTCACCCGCAACATAGGCATCAGGTTGTCTTATCAGATCTGACTAGGAGGCTGATATGATGCACGGAGAGGAAGGAAGAGCAGTGTGGTGTGGCGGCCCACCCGAGAGCCACACGGGGCAGGAAAGCCCCCACCCCCCCCCAGCCAAGGGAGGTCCCAGATGGGGAAACAGTGCTTTTTTAACGGAACTGTGCAACCCATGGATTAGAAGATCCCACTTGCGAACTCATGCCACCAGGGCCTGGCATCCCAACACCAGAGCCACACAGATTCTCAACAGCCTCTCAGCTGGAATCTGCTTAAGCCTACCAAGCTCCTGCAGGGAGGGGCAACCAGCACCACAGCTGTAACTGCGTGCTCTGTAAGCAGTTTGAGCTCCTTGGGGGAGGGGCAGCAGCCAGCACTGGGACTCACAGCCGCCTAACATGCTAAGCTCCCTGGGCGGGGGAAGGGTGGTCTCCATCTCCACAGCTCCTGGTCACTTTTTTCTCCCTGGCTGGAGCCAGGAAGACTAGACAGCTTGGTCCCAAGAGATGTGCCCCACAGCCCACCACACTGGCTGTGGCAGACTGTGGCCAGAGTGCCACATCAGGCCTGACCCTGACTCTTCCTTCCTCACTGAGTGGGGATTCCCTGCAGGAACTCCAATAACTCCAGCCAGAGGCTCGGGGACAGAACCCAGATCTCCCTGGGTCTGAGCCCCTAGGGAGAGGGGTGGTCACAGTATCTGCAGACCAGTAGACTTAGCCTTTCCTCCTGGTAGTTCTTAGGAATCCAGGCAGCCCAGACAAGTGGGTTTTCCCTGAGGGAAGCATACCCCCTCTACCAGGGACAATCAAAGTGTATTCTTAAATGGGTCCTGATCCCTGTGCCACCCAACTGGGTGAGATCCTCCAACGGGTTGTCAGACACCCTGTACAGGAGCAATCCTACTGGCTTCAGATTGGAGCCCCTTGAGGTCAGAGATCCCAGAAGGAGCAGATATCCATCTTTGCTGTTCTCCTGCCTCCTTGAATGACATCTCCAGGCACAGTAGCAAACCAGATGAATTGGGCCTGAAGTGAACCCCCAACAAACCACAGCAGCCCTACAGAAGAGGGACCTGACCATTGAAAGAAAAACAAACAAACAGAAAGTAACAACAACAGCATCAACAACAACAAAAAAGTCCCCACAAAAACCCCATTCAAGGGTGAGCAGCCTCAAAGATTGAAACTAGACAAACTCATGAAGATGGCACAGAATCAACAACAAAAAAAAAGTGCTGAAAACCCAAAAGGCCAGAGTGCCTCTTCTCTTGCAGATAATCGCAACATCTTTCCAGCAAGGGCACAACACTGGTCAGAGGATGAGATGGATGAATTGACAGAAGTAGGCTTCAGCAGATGGGTAATAAAAAAGTACACTAGCTAGCTAACCCAATACAAACAAGCTAAGAACCTTAACAAAAAGTTACAGGAGCTGCTAACTAGAATCACCAGTTTAGAGAGGAACATAATGACCCAACAGAGCTGGAAAACACAGCACAAGAACTTTGTGAGGTATACACAATAATAAATAGCCGAATTGGCCAAGTGGAAGAAAGGATATCAGAGTTTGAAGACCACCTTACTGAAATCAGGCATGCTGAAAAGATTAGATAGAAAATGATGAAAAGGAATGAACGAAGCCTCCAAGAAATATGGGACCTCGTAAAAAGACCAAACCTATGATTGATTGGAGTACCTGAAGGAGATGGGGAGAATGGAAACAAGCTGGAAAACACACTTCAGGATATTATCCAGGAGAACTTCCCCAACCTAGCAAGACAGGCCAACATGCAAATTCAGGAAATATAGAGAGCACCACTAAGATGCTCCATGAGAAGATCAATCCCAAGATACATAATTATCAGATGCAGGAAAAAGTGTTAAAGGCAGCCAGAGAGAAAAGCCAGGTCACCTACGAAGGGAAGCCCATTAGACTAACAGTGGCCCTCTCCGAAGAAACTACAAGTCAGAAGAGATTGGGGGCCAATATTCAACATTCTTAAAGGAAAGCATTTTCAACCCAGAATTTGATATCCAGCCAAACTAAGCTTCATAAGCGAAGGGGAAATAAAATCCTTTCCAGACAAGCAAATGCTGAGGGATTTTGTTACCACCAGGGCTGCCTTGCAAAAGCTCCTGAAAGAAGCACTAAATAGGGAAAGAAAAATCTGGTACCAGGCACTGCAAAAACACACCAAAATATAAAGATCAATGATACTATGAAGAAACTGCATCAACTAGTGTGCAAAATAACCAGATAGCATCATGATGACAGGATCAAATTCACACATAACAATACTAACCTTAAATGTAAATGAGCTAAATGCCCCAAATAAAAGGCACAGACTGGCAAATTGGATAAAGAATCAAGAACCATACTTGTGCTGTATTCAGGAGGCCCATCTCACGTGCAAAGACACACATAGGCTCAAAATAAAGAAACGGAGGAAAATTTACCATGCAAATGGAAAGCAAAAAAAAAAAAAAATGCAGGGGTTGCAATCATCATCTCTGGCAAAATAGACTTCTTTAAACCAACAAAGATAAAAAAAGTCATAGAAGGGCATTACATAATGGTAAAGGGAACAATTCAACAAGAAGAGCTAACTATTCTAAATATATATGCACCCAATGCAGAAGCACCCAGATTTATAAAAGAAGTTCTTAGAGACCTACAAAGAGACTTAGACTCCCACACAATAATAGTGGGAGACTTTAACACCCCACTGTCAATATTAGATCAATGAGACAGAAAATTAACAAGGATATTCAGGACTTGAATGAGCTCTGGATCAAGTGGACCTGATAGACATCTACAGAACTCTCCACCCCAAATCAACAGAATATACATTCTTCTAAGTGCCATATGGCACTTATTCTAAAATCGACCACATAATTGAAAGTAAAACACTACTCAGCAAATGCAAAAGAACTGAAATAATAACGAAGTCTTTCAGACCACAGTGCAATCAAATTAGATCTCAGGATTAAGCAACTCACTCAAAACCACATGATTACATGGAAATTGATCAAACTGCTCCTGAATGACTCCTGGGTAAATAATGAAATTAAGGCAAAAATCAAGAAGTTCTTTGAAACCAATGAGAACAAAGAGACAATGTACCAGAATCTCTGGGACACAGCTAAAGCAGTGTTAAGAGGGAAACTTATAGCACTAAAATGCCCACATCAGAAAGCTAGAAAGATCTCAAATTGACACCCTAACATCACAATTAAAAGAGCTAGAGAAATAGGAGCAAACAAATCCAAAAGCTAGCAGAAGACAAGAAATAAATACGATCAGAGCAGAATTAAAGGAGATAGAGACATGAGCACCTTCCAAAAATTCAATGAATCCAGGAGCTGTTTTTTTGAAAAAATTAACAAAATAGATGGAACACTAGCTATATTAATAAATAAGAGAGAAGAATGAAACAGACATAATAAAAACAATAAAGGGGATATCACCACTGTCCACACAGCAATACAAACTACCATCAGAGAATACTATAAACACCTCTATGCAAATCAACTAGAAAATCTAGAAGAGATGGATAAATTCCTGGACACATACACCCTCCCAAGACTAAACCAGGAAAAAGTCAAATCCCTGAATAGAGCAATAACAAGTTCTGAAATTGAGGCAGTAATTAATAGCCTACCAAACAACAACAAAAAAACCAGGACCAGATTGATTCACAGGCAAATTCTACCAGAGGTTCAAAGAGGGGCTGGTACCATTCCTTCTGAAACTATTCCAAACAATTGAAAGAAGGGTCTCCTCCCTAACTCATTTAATGAAGGCAGCATCATCCTGATACCAAAACTGGGAAGAAACACAACAAAAGAAAGAAAACTTCAGGCCAATATCCCTGATGAGTATCAGTGCAACAATCCTCAATAATATACTGGCAAACTGAATCCAGCAGTACATCAAAAAACTGAAGCCACCACAATCAAGTTGGCTTCAACCCTGGGATACAAGGCTGTTTCAACATATGCAGATCAATAAATGTAATCCATCACGTAAACAGAACCAAAGATAAAAACCATATGAATATCTCAGTAGATGCAGAAAAGGCCTTTGATAAAATTCAACATCCCTTCATGTTAAAAACTCTCAGGCCAGGTGCGGTGGCTCAGGCCTGTAATCCCAGCACTTTGTGAGGCAAAGGCGTGTGGACCCCCTGAGGTCAGGAGTTCAAGACCAGCCTGGCCAACAAGGCAAAACCCTGTCTCTACTAAAAATACGAAAATTAGTCCCGTGTGGTGGCACATGCCTGTAATCCCAGCTACTCGGGAGGCTGAGGCTGGAGAATCGCTTGAACCTGGGAGGTGGAGGTTGCAGTGAGCTGAGATCCTGCCATTGCACTCCAACCTGTGCAACAAGAGCAATACTCTGTTTCAAAAAACAAACAAACAAACACTCTCAATAAACTAGATATTGATGGAACATACCTCAAAATAGTAAGGGCCATTTATGACAAACTCACAGCCAATATCAGACTGAATGGGCAAAAGCTGGAAGCATTCCCTTTGAAAACCGGTATAAGACAAGGATGCTGTCTCTCACCACTCCTATTCAACATAGTATTGGAAGTTCTGGCCAGGGCAATCAGGGAAGAGAAAGAAAGAAAGGGTGTTCAGATAGGAAAAGAGGAAGTCAAATTATCTCTGCTTGCAGATGACATAATTTTATATTTAGAAAACCCCATCATTCTAGCCCCAAAACTCCTTAAACTGATAAGCAACTTCAGCAAAGTCTCAGGATACAAAATCAATGTGCAAAAGTCACAAGCATTTCTTAACACCAATAATAGACAAGCAGAGAGCTAAATCATGAATGAACTCCCATTCACAATTGCTACAAAGAGAATAAAATACCTAGGAATACAGCTAACAAGGGATATGAAGTACCTCTTCAAGGAGAACTACAAATCATTGCTCAAGAAAATAAGAGAGGACACAAACAAATGGAAAAACATTCCATCCTTATGGATAGGAAGAATCAACATCGTGAAAATGGCCATACTGCTCAAAGTAATTTATAGATTCAATGCTATTCCCATCAAACTACTATTGACATTCTTCATGGAATTAGAAAAAACTACCTTAAATTTCAAATGGAATCAAAGACCCTGTATAACCAAGAAAATCCTAAGCAAAAGGAACAAAGCTGGAGGCATCATGCTACCTGACTTCAACCTATGCTACAAGCATACAATAACCCAAACAGCATGGTACTGTTACCAGAACAGACATACAGATCAATGGAACAGAACAGGGACCTCAGAAATAACACCACACATCTACAACCATCTGATCTTTGACAAACCTGACAAAAACAAGCAATGGAGAAAGGACTCCTATTCCATAAATGGTGCTGGGAAAACTGGCTAGCCATATGGAGAAAACTGAAACTTGACCCCTTCCTTACACCTTATACAAAAATTAACTCGAGGTGGATTAAAGACTTAAATGTAAAACCCAAAACCATAAAACCCCAGAAGAAAACCTAGGCAATTACATTCAAGACATAGGCATGGGCAAAGACTTCATGAGGAAAACACCAAAAGCAATTGCAACAAAAGCAAAAATTGACAAATGGGATCTAATTAAACCAAAGAGCTTCTGCATAGCAAAATAAGCTATCATCAGAGTGAACAGGCAGCCTACAGGAGAAAATTTTTTCAATCTATCCATTGGACAAAGTCTAATATCCAGAATTCACAAGGAACTTAAACAAATTTATAAGAAAAAAAGCCAAGCCCGTTAAAAAGCAGGCGAAGGATAGGAAGAGACACTTCTCAAAAGAAGACATTTCCGCAGCCAAGAAACATATGAAAAACACTCAACATCACTGATCATTTGATAAATACAAATCAAAACCACAATGAGATACCATCTCATGCCAGTCAGAATGGCAATTATTAAAAAGTGAAGAAACAATAGATGCTGGCAGAGAAATAGGAACACTTTTACACTGTTAGTGGGAATACAAATTAGCTCAACCATAGTGGAAGCAATATGGTGATTCCTCAAGGATCTAAAACCAGAAATACCATTTGACCCAGAAATTCCATTACTGGGTATATACCCAAAGGCATGTAAATCATAATAATATAAAGACACATGCACACGTATGTTTATTGCAGCACCATTTACAATAGCAAAGTCATAGAACCAACCCAACTGCCCATCAATGACAGACCGGATAAAGAAAATGTAGTATATATAGACCATGGAGTACTATGCAGCCATAAAAAGGAATGAGATCATGTCCTTTGCAGGGATATGGATGAAGCTGGAAGCCGTCCTCCTCAGCAAACTTAACACAGGAACAGAAAACCAAATACCACATGTTCTCACTCATAAATGGGAGTTGAACTATAAGAACACATGGACACAGGCAGGGGAACAACACACACCAAGACCTGTTTGGGGTGTGGCGGGCAAGGGGAGGGAACTTAGAGAACGGCTCAATAGGTACAGCAAACCACCATGGTACACATATAACTATGTAACAAACCTGCATGTTCTGCACACGTATCCTGGAATTTAAAGTTAAATTTAAAAAAAAAAGAACAAAAAGAAAATAAAAGGAAAAAACAAAGAAAGAAAAAAGAAATATGTCTAGGGGGTAGGCACTTATTGCATTTGGACTTGTATGATGAATAGAGGTGACAGAAATCTGACTCCAATTGGAGAGTCCCAGAACTCTGTAGAGGTGCACCTGGGAGAGGTAAGAAGAGCAAATGCTATCTTTCTTGTGCACAGCCATTCACAGGACTACCTAGAGTGTGGCCAAATGGAAAATTGTGCTAATCAGCTGCTTGATTTGTGTCAGACTGGAATCTAACAAGGAATAATTGCTTTGTTGTTTTATTTTTAATATATCGCCAAATATCAGCTAATCACAAGGTCTAAGTTTCTCTTTTACTATATATCAAGAACTCAAATGATGATTAAATAAGTATAATAAAGAGTTCCAAAGTGTAAAATAGCTTCATTATCAAACATTAAACTTTTTATTTTACCTTTGCCCTCATCTCCACTTTTCTGCCTATTTTAGTTTAAAAATGTCAGTGACAATCTAGTGCCATTGTTCAAGAAAATTTGAAGGTGGAATCATTCATTTGTGCATTTATGTGCCAGAGTCTGAAAGTCTAAAATTTCTATTATTACAAATAAGCATCAAAGTATGAGTTAAACAAAAAGTTCACAAAAATCTAGACTGATAATGATAAAACTAAACTAATAGTGATTTATACTGGAAGGAAAAATAAAATGAAAGCAACGACCTACATGAAGCAGGTTTTAGGATGTACCATGTGAAGTTTGTTCTGTGCAAAACAAAAGTGCTGACTGCCTGTGTCCGCACAAGCATGAGAGCCACTCTGTAACACTGCCAAGTATCATATGTCAGCAGGACTTCCAAGTACAGTACACTGAGTTGAGTTTTTGGTAAACTCTACAAACAAATTAACTTTGGTTTACACATTAAAAATTGTTAATTCTCAATAACTCACATATTATTATACTAACTCTTATTCATGCTCAAAACAAGAAAATACAGAATTTTAGTTTGTTCATCAGCAGAGAGGACCTGCCTTCATTTTTCAGAAGTTGATATTAGACATACAACTTAATTATTCAAATTCCAATATCCTGTGTTTTTTAATAGAATAACAAATGCATGGCAATGATCCGTATTATATAAGGCCTCTCTGTGAAGCCATTGATTGATGCTAAACACGCATGTCTAAATTAAGAATTCCGTAAATTTTGCTGCTATGAATAAAATCTGCATCCTTTTTTGTCTTCTGAGTGAAATCCTTCTGAAGTACCAATTTGAATCACAAACTAAACTTGTTTTTTTGAAAATGTAGTGGATATCTGACTAGATTGGGGTAAGGAAGATAACAAGGTGTGAATTAAAATTATGATATGCGTTTTTAAAAGATATGTAAAATTTTATATTTAATTAATTATGCAACTGTAATATTATTTGACCAATTTAAATAACTTTAAATTTATATTTGAAACATCTTGAAAGGACAGGGGATAGCTTACAAACTTACTGTAAAAGTTTAAGAGATAAATATGTAATTCGTATTCCCATCTGCTGTATCCAAACTTTCATTTTATCCAATTATTACATCTTTGTTCATAAGTACATATAATTTGCTGAAGTTTTGCTTTTTTTACTTATATCATTAAAAGCCATTATTGAATCTATGTATTCACTTAAAATAGACTATTCTGTGCTATCAGTTAACTCCATGATGTTAGCAGTTTATAACCAGAAAGGTTCGCTTCTCACTCACTCTGAATGCCGATTATGGGTTTTTGGGGCCTCTGTTTCAGAGCTTGTCATTTGGAGATCCAGGCTGAGAAAGGTTGAGCGGAGAGGAGACTGACACACAGCTTCGAAGCTCTGCCTGCAAGTGAAGCACAGAACTGTCACCCACATTTGCTTGGCCACCTAACTTCAAAGGAGCAAGGAAATGCAATTTTACCACAAGCCTGGAAAGGAAGAAGAACATATATGTTTTTAGTAGTACTAATGATTAGACTGCCTATAATTAAACACTGAATTTTCTTTTAATCTTTCTACAATCATGCGTAGTGCTACGATGAATATTTTCACATAATGTTTCCTGTTATTTCTATAGAACAAATTCCCAATAATGGAATTACTGGATCAAGAATATGAATATTATAATGACCCAATACATATTACCTATTGCTTTTCAATATTATAGTAAATAAAAATCTTATTCTGCCAGGAGCCACTTGTTATTTATCTTTATATCTCCAGTCCTACCAGTGTCCCAGGGTACAGCCAATGAAATCTTCACTAATAAATAAGACATTACATTCTAGCTTATGATTCTGCACTTGAATTTTATTTGTCTTGAAATATTATGTCTTTAAATGGAGAAATTTAAATTATTTTAATTGAGAAAAAATATTTTGGAGAGTCATAATTGTTAGAAATCTACCATTTTTTATTTACACATCAATTTGCAATGCCAAACACAGATTGTTCATAGAGGAGGCTTGACACAATCTTATTAGTACTAGTATATATATATACACACACACACATATATATGTACACATATAACTGAATATATATATGTGCATGTCTGTGTATAGCATTCATACACACATACATAAAGTATATATTAACATACATGAATGCTGCTATTTTAAGAGCAAGAAAATCATATCTAGATTTACCTAGAATTTCTTTGATAATGACACTTAGGGTTCTTACTTGCATTCAAGAAAAACAGACTGTAATTGAAAAAAATATATATTTTGAAAGGAAATTGGGTAGCTTATTAAGTTACTAGGAAGACTGTAAAAAAAAACTTCAAAAAATAAGTGGAAATTCTTATAGCCAAAACATGCCCATGTGAATATCAGCGTGAGGACTTTGCTCACCCAGACAGATTGCTGTGTCCACTGCATCCCAGACACCACAGTTGGCATACATGCCACTGTTGCCATATGACATGGGTGCATTTGCTTCCTTTATTCCACTCCTGCCTTTGGAAACTGAAAGGTGATGCTATTGCCTCTGCACTGTCTCTTGGTTCATTTCCTCTAGATGCAAATGTCTAGGTGGGAATAGGTAATGAGCCAAGAATAGGTCAAATGCCCAAAACCTGGCTGCAAGAGGGGAGGACTCGATATCTGGGATTTTCTGCTTGTGTATACAGAGACCAGACCTGTTCCACCAACGTGAATGCAGGGAGGTATTCCCCAGACATAGTCAGGGAGTTCAGAAGCAGGACAGCATAAATAAATAATTACAAAACTGAAAATAAATATTGACTACAATTAGTCTAATTAGACATTTTCCGCAATTCAATTCATTTTATTCCATTCCACATCCCCCCATTCAAGCACCATTGAGATTGCTCTGTTCATTTTATCTGTCCTTTAAGCTTTAGGGTTTAAAAGTTTTGCTGTTTTGTTTTCTTCATATGACGGGATTATTCATTTTAAATTTCCTTTGATGAGTCATATCCTACAGCTTTTAGAGTCTCTGATGCACTTCCCTTTTTACATTTGATTATGTCATTCCCTAATGACATAATCAAAATCTATACAGTATATCAAAAAATGTGTTGCCAGTCTTTCAAGACATCTTCTTTCTATGGTTTGAGGGAAGAGAAACATGTAGGTAGTATTGCTAGTAAGGCAGGAATGAAGATACACAAAACAACAGGTCGTTGTTCTTAGAAGTTGTCTATTGGAAAAGACAAAAAATATCTCAATACAAACATACATGTAATATAAAAGAAGCGGGTACTGAATATACTGGGCACACAAAAAAGACTATGATCAGTCCTACTTAGGAAAAGTTTGAGAGTGGATAGTTGAGCTAAATATTTCCTTTTGTCTGAAGTCTACAATGAATAACAAGGAATAAGCATTTATAAGAAACTTTGCCACACTCATTTCCTTAAGAAAGCCCCTCTAAGATAAGAATTTTATTTTATTTTAGTTTGGGGGTTTTTTTGAGACAGGGTCTCATTCTGTCACCCACGCTGGAGTGCAGTGGCACAATCTCAGCTCACTGTAGCCTCCACCTCCTGGTGTTAAAACAATTCTCCTGCCTCAGCCACCCAAGTAGCTAGGATTATGCATGCACCACCTCACCGGGCTATTTTCTGTATTTTTAGTAGAGATGGGGTTTTGCCATGTTGTCCAGGCTTGACTTGAACTCCTGAGCTCAAGCTATCCACCCACCTCGGCCTCCCAAAATGCTGGGATTACAGATGTGAGCCACTGCATCCGGCCTGAGATGTGAATTATATAAAAGAAAAAAATTGTTTAATAAAGAAAACTCAATGAATTTGAGGACATCTCTCCAGCAGGAATTATCAAATGTTAAACAATTTTCTAACCTTTAGCATAAACCCTTCTAAGGCTAAAGAAAGTCATCTTTAATTTTTTCTGTCGTTGTTGTTTGTTTTTTAATTTTTAACTTTTCGAGTACTTCATAGGTATAATTTTTATCATTGAAATAATGAGGTTTATTTTCAATACAAATATATCAATACCACACAATTCACCAAAACAATTGTAAACAAGCTCAAGGTGGAGTGTACAAAAATCTCAAAGTTTCAAAACTAGAGGTGATCTTCCCTATGGCCTCAGGCTAGCCAATTTAAAATATTACCAACAACACCCAGATTTTTGTTCCCTTTCTTCTCCACTATCTCCTCATACTTTCTCCCACTTATTACCATTAATAATTACTTTGCAGTACAGTTTGAATTTAAAAACATTGATCTAATCCAACTGTCTCAATTCTCAGAAGATGAAACTCTAGTTGAGAGACATTAAGTGATTCAAATCTTGGTTGCAAAGTCAAGTCTAAAGCAAAGATGGTGAGAACTATGAAGGATTGCTCACACTGAGATTAGGTGAAAGTGCAGCGCAGTGTTTACTTAGGAATTTATTTAATTTAGGAAAGTATTTGTTAGATAAGCAAAATTGTACTCAAAAGTGTGACTCCTTCAAGAAGGTATTCTCAGCTAAACTTTAAAAATTATTCTAAAACTAGAGGTTCCCTGCAATGAAATGAATCACCTTATATGACAATGAATGCCTATATGTTGGGTGTATCACTGTAGATGATAAAATACAAGGACCAACAGTGCCTTGGAAGCAATCATTACTTTGAAGTGAAGATTCTTCTGGAAGACTCTAAAGTGAGGAGATGACATCTCCTGACTCCTGGTCAGATGACCATGAAAGAGCTCCATTTCTGCCACTGCCTAATTCTTTTTTCTGGGGCAAATCACTTACTTGTCTTCACTAGAATATTATGATGATCACTTGAGGTTGTACATATCAATCATAAGAATATTTATACTATACTTAACAAATTGAAATTTTTATTTAGTCACCCAACACTCTATCGAATATATTATTATTTACAAATAATTGTTATGAAACTTAAAAGATTTTGAGTGTTTGTGCCACTGCAAGAATTTAACAATAACAAGAATGACAGCAGAAGGGTCCCTCTTTTCTTTAGAAATGAATTCTTTCTTCCCATCCTTTCTTTAGAAATGAATTCTCAGGGCATATATTGAGAGATTCTCTTTCAATCTTTGGAAGTCTGTTGAACTCCCATTCACTGTTGCTAAATTAGTAGTCCAACCTGTGCAGCTAATGAATAACACAATAAGGTGATGAAAGGTTTATCATTATCTTTACCTCATTACCCTTATTATTTTGATTTCGTGGAGGTATAGCCTCCAGCACAAATCAGCACCACTAAGCACAGCATTCTACTTTGTTGGAAGGGCAGGAATTTATACCTGTGTGTAAATAGGATCCTGTCCTTTAGAAATTATAGGAGGGACAGAGCAAGATGAGAGATTTTTTTATTCTTTTAAATCCAGAAACATGGAAGAGAGAAAGAAAGAGAAAGGAAGGAAGGAAGGAAGGAAGGAAGGAAGGAAGGAAGGAAGGAAGGAAGGAAGGAAGGAAGGAAGGAAGGAAGGAAAGGAGGGAGGGAGGGAGGGAAGGAGGGAGGGAGGGAAGCAGGAAGGAAAGGGAAAAGCAAAAAAAAGCATTTAACAAAAGAGAACTTGAAGAGGCTTGTTTTTATGAATGTATTAAATTCAATGTTTATTTTCCTCCAGTGTGCAAAAACGGAACCCAGCATGTAAGGATTAGTCAAATTGATTTGAAGGTACCAATCTTTTTATGAATGATCTTTCAAAGAGAAAACACGGTATGTTCTGGCACCAGGAAGGCATTGCCAGGAAGCATATTTAGCAATTTACTTTCAAAGTAGGAAATATTCATTAGATCCAAATACCAAGTAGTTTGTAGGACATGTTCATGCACAAACTTGATCCTAACACTGCTGAACATTATCTTTATCTGATCTTAATTCAGGTGTTGCTTAAAATATTGCCTTTCAGCTTTATCCCTGATAGATATTAGTTCAATATATCAACACAGTGCAATTAAACTTGTTATCTTGTCCTTTAGGAACACAGAGAAAAACTATAAACAGAAGAAAATCAACAATTTGATTATTTAGTCAATTATAAGCTCTTCCTGTAATATGTAAAATAGATAAAAACTGCCACTGGTAAAACTAACAATAACAATAAAATATATTACAGTCGCATTTTACAAAAGAAAGGAAGAATTTTATCTTTAAAAAATTCCTAGAATAATTAAAACTTAATCTGATTTTTTTTGCTTGAAAAAAGAGTGAGAAAAAAGTGAAAAAAGTAATTTGGATCAATCATACAAAGGAAATATCATGAATCTCACTCTTATAAAACATTATGTATATACTCCAGCACAATGATTTATTCATAATTAGTTACCTATTAAAATTAAATTTCTAAAGGTGCGACAAGATTTGTCATCCTCACTATCACATACCTACATCTTTCCAATGTGTCTTCAACAGAAAACTACATACCTCAAAAATCGAGATCTTAGAATCATGCTTCCTGCTTTGGTAATACCCAAAGGCATGATTATCTATTACTGAAGAAAACACACCCTGTTTTATGTGTTGCTACTGCTAACTTGGGACAGTTTTCTGCTCTGATTTCTTCCACAGTTATCAGAGCAAAGATAAGAATCAGATTATGTAGTTTCCAAGGGAAAAAAATAACAGATTTGAATATTGTGGGAAATAGATAACCTGGCTTCCAGGGAAATAAATATAAAATTGTGTATATTTATATAACTAAGCAATAGTAACACTGGTAACATCAGAACTTTAAAATAATGGCATACTTAATGTGCTTAAAATTTATTTCCTTCTTTGCACCAATTATCCTATTCCAGAAACTGATAACTATGTACAATATAGACAAGTTCTCACATGATCACAAAGTGAATGCCATGTTAACATATACTTCCATCAAGTGGTCCTCAAAGGGAATTAAGTGGTCAGGATGCTGAGTGCCTGTAGTTTCACATTGTTCAGAGTGTGCCTTAAAACTTAGTCTTCCAAATGTATTTTTATCCATCATTTCCTCACTTCATTTCATACTGCCCTTTCTTCCAATTGAAAGCAACATAAAGTAGCAGAGCAGCAACAATGACATAAACTTGCCCATATCATTCATTGATTCATTCACGCAAAAATACTTAGACTTCCTACTATGTGCTGAACACTGTTCTAAATGCATTGCAATCATTAATGGAAAAAAGCAGACAAGGGTTTCTGCCATCATGGAGCTTATATTCTGCAGGAGACTTGCAATAAACAATAAACAAAGATAAATTACAGATAAGTTAGAAAGTTGTAAGTTATTGAAGAAAAAAGGATGAAATTAAAAGAGATCAAGAATGCTTGTGGAATGGACACAGTTTGTAATTCCTAATCGTGTGTTTAGGATAGTGTTTTTTAATCCAGCAGGCACTCAGTACGCAGGTGACATTTAATCAATGAGTCAAAGAAGGTTAGTTATAGTTGATGTGGATTAACTTGTAGGAGAGCATTTCAGACAGAGAAAACAGCCAGTGCAAAAGCCCTAAGAGGTCGTTGTACAGAATTTGGCTTTTACTATGGGGGAAAGAGGAAATCACTGCAAAGTTTTGAGTAGGAGAGGGATATTATCTGCTTTACATTTTTAAATGATCACTTTGGTTGCTGTAATGAGACTCTAGAGGGGAAGTTAGAAGCAAAATGACAAGCTGGACGCTGTTAAGTAAAGCAGGTGAAACGTAATAATGGCTTAAACTCAGATGGTAGAAGTGGAGATGGTGAGAAATGACTAGATTCCAGGAAATAAGTGGTCATGAGAACAAATTTTAAAGTTGTATTATTTGGAATTCATAAAGAGGGCCCTAATGAACACAAACTGGAGCCTTGAGTTACTGATTCTATTTTTCCGGACAATCGCATGAATGTTGTTGGAAAAGTCAAAACCAACTTCACTTGTGTGTGGTCAAAAGCTTTAAACATTTTGAATCAAATAGAATTTCTTATCATCAGCATGTGGAATCATTTTTTATTTTAAGTAATTTCCCAGTAGTTCCTATGTGGCAGGCACAATGATACTGAAGGTATACAAGGACAAATCAGAAGTAGCTGCTGGGAAATGCTTCAGTAAAGAACAAAAATTATTTAAATAAGCAAGAGAAATAGAGTGATGTTATTCTGGTGCTAGAAGTTTGAAGAGGGTAGTTTAGAAAACAAAGAGGAGCAGGATGGTTAGTGATAGAGGGGGAAGGTGTAAAGGGGAATTTAAGAAGAATTCTTTGGGTATGATACCCTTGAAAAGAGTCTTAAAATGTGAATAATATTCTCCACAATGATTGGTGTATTTGGGAAGGAAAAAGGAATGTAAACACAACACAGATACATGATCTGGAAGGTACTTTGAAACAAGTGTAGGTAGCTTGGTGATTGAAGCATAGAATTGTTGGAAGACAATTCTCCATGGGCTTCTCCTGTTTCTGTGCATCACGCAAAAGAAGCATTAATTGCACATTCTTTTCAAAACTGCTTTTTCAAGGATCCTTTTATAGCACATAACATTAGAAGATAGAGATTGTCATTCCTTCCAGAGCAAATGGCTACTTTGTGCATAGCTTTGGAAAATAAAGATAGTGTCTTCTGGGAAGGCATGCTTATCCAGTATAAAAGATTAATGTTCCCTGGCTTCAGAGTTCCTCAGCTATGCTACAAGCCCACTCTGTGAGCAGCTTCCACCTGGGATCCCTCCATAATATCCCCATGGGACTTGGGGGACAAAAGGAACTGGTGCATACTTGAAACTCACACTGCCCACTGGGTCTTGATTTCTAATAAAGTTCTTTATCTCATGTAAAGTCAGGGAAGAGTCCACATGACCATTCTCATTTCTGACACCAGTGTAAAGTTTCGGGGTCACTCAGATGACACTCAGTTTTGAACATTTTCTGGAAGGACTCAGAACTCACAGAAAGCAGTTATATTATGGTGTATTACAGCAAAAATAAAAATAGAGATTAGAATCAGCCAAGAGAAGACATGCATGGGGCAGAGTGCAAGAGTGCTTCAAACATGGGGCTTCCAGTTGGAGTCACAGACAGCATTCACCCCTCCAGTAATGATGTGTAATGATATGCACTTATTGCCAACCTGAGCCTTGGTGCCAAAGTCTTTACTGAGGTTACACCATGTTGATATGGTTTACTGCCCATGTGGTTGACGTCAGTTTCCAGGCCCTGTGGAAATTTAGATAATACAACATGACCCCAAATCCCCACTATAAATTAGGTTGTTACACTGTCTGGCATCTTCCAATGCCCCCAGGTAAATGAAGATACTTTAATCTGGTAGCACATTCCAAGTGTTTAGAGATTACCTCCCAGGAGCTGAGGGCAAAGCCAGACCTCTGTTTGCAGGAGGTTAAATTCTTTACTGTACACGCTAGCCTGGGGCTCTCATGTTTTCTCCCGGTAGCCATGAAACTGTGGCAGGCTAACTTAGCTTGCAAATAGGGTAAAATCTCAGACTCTACACAGTTTTTGACAGGAATATAAAGAAAAATTTACTAGAAAATGTGCCTAGGAAAAAAGCTAACCAAGGGCCACATCATGGATTCTTTTTATCCTTACTAAAAGGTTGAATTTTATTCTCCAGTTCATTAAAATTGCATGTGTTTAGAGACACCAGTCCACATTAGAAATATTATTTTTTAACTATCACATAGCATCTCTCTCTCTCTCGCTCTCTCTCTCTATATATACACATATATATAACCATTTTATATATATACACCCTATGTGTACATATATATAGCCATGTATATAATGGCAAAGTTTGCAAGTAATTAGAACGATTCAAGTTTATGAGTTTTTAGAGATAGTATTCTAGAAAACTAGAGGGTGAAGGCATTGAAGATGTTGGTAAGAAAGATATTGATTAATGATCCAGACTATCAGCTGGATCAGAGATTCATGAAGGGATGCCTACTAATGTTAGTGTAGAAAAAGATGGGTACAGGGCAATAGAAGACAAAGGGCAGACATGAAAAGAATAAAGGAGAGAGTTATGGACTGACAGAAGAATGTAATGAAATATTGATTTGCTAGAGGTTAACACTTCATAAATGGGTCAGCTAAACTAATAACAAAATTTACTTCAAGAGAGTTGGTTCCAAGTTAAGATTGACTATGAGCAAAATTTTAGGCCAGAAAGAGCTTAGTAAATTTGCAACCAGCATGAGCCATATACATGTGAGGCATTATGACACAATGAAAAGAATACATGCTAGAAGCCAAAATTCTAAATGAATAGGGGAGAGTAAAGTTGGTATGTGATGGGATGGAAGTGTTATATATCATGACAAGAACCTCAAAGAAAGAAGGATAGAAAAGTAATTATCTGCAATTCTCAATTGAGAGTCAGATCGATACCCATATTTCCCTTGTGCTGTATGAAAGATTCAACAGCTTTGATTTCAGTGGGCTTCAACGGAAAGGTCTTTAAATTAAAAAAGACCCAGGTTTCAAAATAGAAGAGGAATGAGTGAGGAGAGGGGATGTTGGGTATTCTCTGAAGAAACTAGAGACATAAGAATGTAGGAATGTGTGCTAACAGTGAAACTGGCTTACAGCAATCATCAATGGTGTGACAGTTAATTTTATGTGTCAAGTTTCCTGGGCCACAGGATGCCCAGATATTTGGTTAAACATTATTTTGGATGTTCCTGTATGGATGTTTCTGGATGAGACTAACATTTGAATCAGTAGACTGAGTAAAGAAGATTGTCCTTCTAATGTGGGTAGTCCTTCTCCAATTCATTGAAGGCTGGAATAGCAAAAAACAAGAGGCTCAGTAAGGGATAATTCACTCTCTCTGCCTGCTTCATTGTCTTTGACCTGGGACATCACTCTTGCCTTTGGACTCAGATTCAGACTGGAACTCCACCATCAGCGCTCCTAAGTCTCTTAACATAACAGCTGCAGATCATGGAACTTCTATTACTTGTTCTGTTTCTCTAAGAACCAGACAAATAGAAAAGGGGAGATTTATCAGTGGAAGGCACAATGAAAGAGAGATTGGAGAAAGAGGTACATCTAAGAAAATGAATGAGAGGTCACATGGCTATGTGGCACCAAGAATGAGAGGCCTACTAAGACTTACTTTCTGCAAGCTTCTAAGCTCACTAAGCATATGGTCCTAGCTGCAGACTAAGTCTTATTGAGTAACCAGAGTTTAATCTTCATCAACGTTCTAAATAGGATAGTACTAAAAGGATGAGCCGGTTTCCTAGATGTCATCTCCTGGTTAAATTATCTGACACAGTATCTTGATTGTCTTAGCGTTAACAGTAGAAAGTATAGTGGCCTGGTATGAGAAGGTCAAACATCTCCCATGGCAAAGG
Organism: Homo sapiens; assembly: GCF_000001405.40. Lineage (NCBI taxonomy): Eukaryota > Metazoa > Chordata > Mammalia > Primates > Hominidae > Homo > Homo sapiens. The sequence continues at coordinate 156,523,821 of NC_000004.12, forward strand.
GGGAGAAATATAGACTTTAAAAAGAAGCACTGCAACTGGAAGCACACATATAGCTTAATGTATTGAATAATTCAGGAATGTGATAATATCTACCTGAAATAATCAGACTAAAGAGGAATTAAAGACATTAAGTGGGGAAACATTAAAATAAGAGACAGTTTTCTCAAGTGTGCTGTTACTAAGGAAACTGAACAATATATCTTTCTAAGTCCTTCATGTTTTCCTTCTATTTCTACTTATATTTGAGAGCCATAATGTGGCTCTTTGAATGATGTGACTATGCTACTCACAGAACTGTGATCCCTAAGGAGATCTGGGCTTAAGCAAAAGCAGATCATTAAGCATCGGGCTAAAAACAAGGTGGCATTACTTCATTTTCAATTAGCAAATTGTCCCTGCAGACTTGACATTCCTAAGTACATTAAGAGGTTCAAGTAAGGCCTGCCAGGGAAAGAAAAAAAGCAAAGAGAAGGATTAAGAACTAACATTTAATGAAGTTCTTAACCTTTCTTGTTTCATAAACCTCTGGTGAATCCTATGATCTTCTTATCAGGGTAATGCATAAAAATGCAGAGGATTACAAAGGAATTCAAGTATACTGAAATGCGGTTATCAAAATATGTTTTTAAACAGTGATGTTCTAATATGTGTACTTTATTAAGACATCAAATAATAAAATATAGTGGCATCTCTAATAATTACCATAATTTTGAAGTAGTGGTATATATAAGAAATATTTTAGGCATCTGAAACAGAAATAATGTGATACAAAAGTATCCGTGACTTCTGTTAGTGGCAAAAATCACAGGTAGTACTAATATAGCTTGGAAGTATTTTTAGCTTATATTTATGATGTAATAAACATTCAGTTTCATTTAGAGGTTAGGAAAAATACAGATATAATTTTTCCCATGCAACACATATACCCTCTGAATTCTATCCATTAACAGCAAAGAAGCTAAAAAAGAAAACCCACTGAATGGAGCCTGTTCCGTGCTATAGAAGATACAAAATGATTGAGAACTTAGCCTTGGCTTCAGGCATATTGAAATCTAACAAAGCAACCTAGACCACAGTGATCTAGGTAATAAAGAATAAGACAATCCTCTTGTAAAATTAACAACAGGGATATTACATGCTCCAGATATTATATCTCGGTATGCATTTAAGACTCTAGACCTAGAGAAACTGTCTTACATGTACGCCAGGGGCAATTATGTTATTACAGTATTCTTACCAAAATTATAAAACTGTAAACAACCTAATAGTCCATCAGTAAGAAGAGGTTTTATATAAAGTGGTATTTATTAATGAAGTGAAACATTACATGTTAAATGGTAAAATATTGGCTGTGACACTGGCATGACAGTGATATAGGTATTGACATCACTGATCATAGCTACATATTCATGTAGGTATCAACATTATAGTAATATCTATGGAACCTATGGGGAAATCGCTAAGACATAAGATGCAGGAGGAAAACAGAAAGGAAAAGGAGGATGTAGACAGTATAATTCATTCATGTAACTTAAAAAATCAAAGTCAAAACAATGCTATTTATTTGTTATGGAATCCAGCCATTATCCGGGGGAATGATGGGACTAAGGATGCCATGGTAAAGTGACTTTAGCAATATTTGTAAAACAGTATATAGTAAAATATTGATAAGTATATATTCTGGGATGTAGAAATATGGACGTCTGTTATAAGATCTGAGGAGCAGATCAGAAGGAACAATGTAAAAAGTCTGATGATTCAAAAAAATAAAGATGAAGAAAAAAAGAAACTCTTTCCATTAGAGCATCCCAATGCTTGGTCTAGGGACTTTCAGAGGCAGAATCCGTAACACAAGGCTGTTTTTCACAGGCAACTAGGATTTTAAGGAGTCATAATACTACCACAAAATATAATCATTAATGATATTTGAATGCTCTATTTTCATGGAATATAAATGTGATTTAAAATATGAGTTTGGATGACAAACTATAATAATAATTTTTTTTACAAATTATTATTGCATGCAGTGGGCTTTGTAAACATTTAATCCTGACAGAAATCCAATGAGAGTTATTTTATAGATTAGGATATTCAGGTCAGATAGGTTTGATGACTTGCCAAAGCTCACACAGCCTATGGTAGGAGATAAGAAGTAAACTCATGCAGACACTCCAGAGCTCATGCTCCCAAGCACAGTTCCGTACATGTGCGAGCACACCCATGATCGACCAAGACTCAGAGCTCCCGAGGAAGCAATCAGTGATATGTCAAAAGCCTGAGGTTGCATCTTTTCTGCAATCAGATCTTTATTGAGTGCCTATCCTATGCTAGGTTCCATCTCAAGAGGTTTTATGTATATGTGTCATTTCTTAATTATTAAAAAATACATTTGAAAAACTACCATTTGCAAGATACCATGAACGAATGCTGATACAAATAAAGATGAAGTATGAGGCCTGAAATGAAGGAGATTGTAATCTAGAGCAAAACCAACGTATAAACTGCTAATAATATTACATGCTTTAACCAATTTGTTGGAAATTTGTCAAAGGAGTTTAAAATAAAATTTAAGGTGGAAATAAAATCCTCGCCATAGTAAAATGGCAAAGCCCAATGCTGAGGGGGGAAATATAATATATAAGGATAAAAAGTAAAATAAGAGTTACTAAATAATTCTTAGAAAAATGGTGATTTCTAGAAGCCAATAAGGGTTTTTATTTTAAGAAAAGAGTTGTCATAACAGGACTGTGTTATAACAAGCATTTTGATTTAACCAAACACTTAGTCAAATTCACCTTAAGGACCAATGGAGTGTCAGATGTCATGGCCTGTCAAAAGGGACAGTCCTCTTACAACAGCCTCTAGCATAGTTTCTAAAATAAAAACAAAAACAAACAAAATTCTTCAACCACATATATTCACTAAACAATTCAGATTCAAGTAAGTAACAAATAAATTTCCATTAAAATTTGAACACGACACTTAAAATGTCCACTTAAACTGTATGTTTAAAAATACTTTCTAAAATATTGTACTCAAATATGTAACTAAAAGTAAACTACTAAAATTATATTCCCCAAAGCAACTCTTCATAAAAATCTGTAGATCCTTATCTAAGACAGTTGCATATTTATTTCTCATTTTATGCTCCACATTTATGTATGTTTTAAATTTCAGCCTAAAAAAATCATACAGCCTGATGGTTATTGATCCTCAAGCCCTGCCCCCAAAGGCTGTGTAGACACACTGAATATAACTGCTTTGTTTGTATCAAATGGGACTTTTTGCTTCTTGAAGAATGAGTAACACTCGTTTTATTTTTTCAATTTGGCGATTTCTGGTTTTTATTTATACACTTTGATAGAAAAGCCAATTTAAGATAATGAAATTTTTCTACCATACCAGTAATGTAGAAACACATATATTGAATGGAAAATTAGTAGGACCATGATAGTTAAAAATGCATGCCTTTACTTAATTCATCCAACAATGTAATGAGTACCTACTACTTGCAAGGTAATGAATTGCACATATACAAATAAGTCAGAAATAGCTCTGGCCCTCATGGAAAGTTTCATATTGTTACTATGTTTTATTCCTTTGGTTTATGCCTGTTATTTCCATGGTAATTAACTGCTCTTATAAAATCAGAGGATATTACTCACTCTTGTATCAATACTAAAAATGTAAATCCAGCCTAGTAACTTCAGGTAAAACAGAACAAAACCAACATTCATTCTTAAAATGGAACTATAAATTCTGAGATATTCTCATAATTCAAACTATTCCTGCTTATTGTCCACAAATATCTAAAAGCCCACAAGAAATAGTTTTTCAGCATCTGAGGCTGTGTTAAAATTCTTCCTCATAGGAATTTACAAATTTTTCTAAAGTTTCTTCCACCAAAGTTTCCGAATAATAAGAAAGGGAGGCTCTATGGTTAAGTAATGTGGGGAAAGAATGTGTTGAAATCATCTAAAACCAGTGTATTTACTGTATAATTTCTCAGACCTTTGAGTATGCTAATGTGCATTGTAACTCACAACAAAATATATCGAATGCAGAATGTAGCATTTCATCAACTTATTTGACTTTGAAACTCTTTATTCAAGTTCTACAAGTACTATTTCTGAGAAATATATTTTGGGGAAAAAATAGGCTAGACAAGCACTTAGGAAGTTGATGAATTCTAAGAGCAAACATGGCTTCACTAAGAAGTCATTTCAGTTAAGCCATTTCCAGTTTTAAATTACTGAACTGTTGTGCCTAGGAGTAGCAGAAAGCATATCTGAGTTTCAGGAAAGTATTTCTTCATGACAGCAGGAAATGTGGGCTAGATGACAGTTTAATTATTTGCCATCACATCAGGTGAAATGAATTAATGCAAATTAATGAATTCATTATTATTTATGAATGTCCAGTTTGTGGACTGACCTTGTAATCCACAGTCTTCGTGAGAAGACAGATGAATTATCACTAAATCTGCAGGAAACAGGAAGAGACAGCTGATATACCAATTCAGTTGTAAACAACTTTTTCTGTAAATGACAAGAGAGTACATATCTTAAGTTTTGTGGGCCATACAGTCTTTGTCATAAGTACTTCCCTGTTACAGCAGAAACGCAACCATAGACAGTTTATAAACAAATGAGCATGATTGTGTTACAATGAAACTTTGTTTACAGAACACGCAGTGAACTGGATTTGGCCCACAGGCCATAGTTTTCTAACCCTTTTATTAGTTGTCAGAGATGGACAAAAAGAATCAGTGGTCTGGCACAATTGACTAGATCAATGAAAATGAAATTTAACAGATTTAACATTTTTGCATTTCAAGCCAATAATTCAACTTCATAAGTATTAGAAAAAGATGGATGGCTTAATAGTACAGTTTAACATAATTGGAAGCTCAATATTCCTCTATTTAATGTGTCTCCCAAGGAAGACAGTGCTCCATCTGTAGCACCAGAGAAGCACCAAATAAAACATTGCCTGGGTCAAACTATACTGGGAGTGTTGGATCAAATTCTAGATCATCCATTTGAAAAGTGCTTTGCAAACAGGAGAGCATACACAAGAGAATGGTTGTTTTCCTGAGACAGTAAGGCATGTTATAAGATAAATTGTTTTAAAGAAAGGGACAATTTAATCTGGAGAATGGAAGACTTCAGTGTACCATACCTCTGTCTTCAGACATGCTAATCCAGATGGATTAGATTCCTCCTCAGTTTTTCCTGAAGTCAAACTGGGAATCATTAAATGTTGAAAAAGTAGGGCAAAATTTAGATTCAACAAAAGAAAGAAATTTTTAAACAAATGTAGCTGTCCCCCAATGAAATAGATAGATGTATTTTCCCTATGGAGGTGTATTTGTCTGTTCGTGCACTGCTTTAAAGACATACACAACACTGGGTAATTTATCAAGAAAAGAGGTTTAATTGACTCATGGTTCCACATGGCTGGGAAGCCCTTTAGAAACTTACAATTATGGCAGAATGCGCGAGAAAATAAGTTTGTGTCAGTGCAGGAAAAACTACCATTTATAAAACCATCATATCTCATGAGAATTCACTCAATATGATGATAACAGCATGGGGGCACCCACCCCCATAATCCAATCACTTCCCAGGTCTCTCCATAAATACCTGGGGATTACAATTCAAGATGAGATTTGGGTGGGGAAACAAGCCCTAACCATATCAGGAGGAAACCTTCAGGTATTGATGAAGTCTCTCTGACTACTTGGGGAGACATTACAGAATGATTCAATTACTAACTAGGAGATGGGTGCTAATAGTTTATTTTCAACTCTAAAAATCTCTAACTTTATCAGTGTTGAAGTTCAAGTCATCAACTCTCTTAATCATGCAATTTTTAAGCTAAGTTTTTAAACTACCATTTTTTAAACTAAGTTTTAATTTCTAGACTGAATGTCAATAAATTCCTTTGCTAATTCGAATTAGAATTTTACCTCTATTACTTGTCTTGCACTTGTTAACTTTTTAGCACAATGTCTACTCAGGTTTAAAATAAAATGTTTGTGATGGAGCATAATAAAGTATTGGACATTAATATTGGTATTTATAATGGTTAACAGTAACTGTGATTGATTAAGGACAACAGCATGCCCTTGGTTTCTGTCTTTGGTTTTAGTATTTACAATGCAATATGACTTTTTAAAAAGCAAGCTATGCAGAAAATGTGTAAATTTTTGATGTGTAATGTGTAAATGATGAGAAACTGCTATCTCACCATCAAGTTGCAATCGAGCTAAGCTACAAATAGCAACATTGATTATAATAAGACTTTGAACTGACCTTGTTCTGCAGATAGATTTTGCATCAGTGTTCTTTGCAGTGTTTACTGGTATATCTGAAACATTTATTCTTGTAATTTGACAATTTGTGCACGTTGAATTAATAATTAAATCGACATGATTAATTCAACATGCACAAATCTTCAAATTAGAAGAAATGTTGAAATTAATGTTGAAATTATTATTGTGTGATATCTGTACAAGTTAGCTACCTGTGGTTAGTATTCTTACAATTTCTCTCTCCCTCAGCCCTATCATTGGTTTCTGTTCTTATCTCACTGAAAAGTACTACGAAGTTTAGCGAGTATTTACTTTCAGGACTTATCAATTTAAATTACAAATTAGTTTTAACTTGTGAATTCAAAGATATGAGAGTTGAAAAAACTTCACAGAAAAAGAAAATCCTTGGAAAAGACTATAAAATACAGAGAAGAAATATGTTATCTTAAAAGGAAGAGGGAAGAGTGTTATTTTTAAGTTGAAATAGTATTTTTCCCTGAATCTGCAACTGAGGAACTATCCCATTAGAGGAAGTTTACAGAGTAAAACTTTTTTCTCCTCTAGACAAAAGTCAGTCTATGATAAGAAGATATCAGAATTAATTTGTATACTTCTTAGCTGTTTTCATTAAAACTGAACATGGCCTATAACTGGAATGGAGGGAATTGTCTCTTTTAATTGGCTGAATGATTCTTTATTCTCTTACGCAGGTGTCAGCCTGTGGCAGGGGGCACATTCAGTGACATAGTGTTGAGTATAGAAATGGTATTATCTTGCTGTCCAAAGGAAAGTTCAGGAAAAAACATCACAAAATTAAAAATAGAAAATATGGTTACGTTATTTTTATCTACCTTCTCTTTAATCACTGAGAAATAAAATTGTTTAAAACAATACTGAAAACATCTTGGATAATGTGAGGAATACATGAAGATATGAATGTTCTTTGCATGAATATTGTCGGCTGTGACAGCTCATTCCACTTCTGGATTATAACGTGCTTCTTTAGGTCTTAGTATTATTGGTTTGTTTTAAATTTTATCATCTGGCTGCACTGTATACAACTTACTCAAAGGAATCTTTTCATATTTTAGTATTGTATATCATTTAAAAACATGATAAAAATGTTTTCAATACAATTTTTATTTCCAAGATAGTGTCAGAAAAGTATATTTAGTATAAGTAAATATTATGCTCCATTAAAAACAGTTAAGCTTTTAATAAACTTGCCTAGTAAAATTCTTTATCACCATTTTCTTATTGAAAACTGGTTTTTGGAGGATGTTGTTCCGATAGATATTAATAAAGATGCCTTTATATCAAAGTGTTCCATGGCCATCTTCTTGAAAATTTACGTTATTAGATTCCAGGAAGCCCTATATGTTTAACTTTATTTTTTCCCATAATTTCTGGGCTTATTTTAGGGATAAACATTATTTAACGGTCTTCAGTTTAGAAAAGCTAAAATAAAAGCTCTTTTTCTGTAACAAACTGAATTCATTTACTGAGATATTCTGTCTAAATCAGGATAAGCAATGCTAGCTGTTCTAATAAAGAACCCTAAAATTACAGTGGTTTAGTATGGGAAATGTTTATTTCTCGTTAGCACAAAATCCAAAGTCAATGAGCTTCATCCACTGTTTCTTGTAGGTGGCTCTTCTCCAAACAGTGTATCAGAGATTTGATATCCTTCTATCTCCAACTTCTTAGATTCTTTGCTTAAGAACCCAATCAACTAGAGAAAAAGCATGGCAAATTGCATAGGATGATCTTTGCTTAAGAACCCAGCAAACTAGAGAAAAAGCATGGGAGATTATATAGGATGTTTCATGTCTGGGCATGGAAATGCAGGAGTATGTCACTTTTCCTCATGTTACATGGACCAAAACTTAATCACATTGATCTATTTAGATACAGGGAAGACTATAAAATATAGACTACTGTGACTTAAGGAGTAGAAGAGAAATGGATATTTGTAAATATTGACAAAAATTGTTTATGCTGATTTTGTAAATTATGGTTCAATCAATATTTAAAGTGTAAATGTTGTCTTTGGAAAGTGTAAGAGTATCAAACCATTTGTAACTCAAAGGTCAAGAAGAAATTATTTTTAGATCTTATATATATAGTCTCATTACCTATTAACATATTGTGTATGTGTATAGTAATTTCAAGTCCAAATTTTAAAACCTGTTTAATAAAGTCTCTTGACTATAACATATCTAATAGCATTCTTTATAAGTACCTGATAAATTATCATGGTAATTATCAATATTTAAATTATCATGGGCATTTTGATCATAGCAATTAACTGATTTGGGAAGTCAAATTAATTTAGATACAACATATAATATGAACGAATAATTATGATAGATTCTAAGGACATGTTATATATGGATATACATATACATGGAGCATTTATTTAAATGGATAACCATAATATATTATATGGCTAATTTTTTTAATGTTGGTAATATGTGACTTCATCCATTCTAAGGATTAAATAATTACATAAAGAACATATGCACAAAGCAAACTCAAGCAAAAAATATTTTTAAAGTCTGACCAAAATTAGCAAAAGGAAAAAAAAATCAGTATCTTTATCAGTAAATGTTTATCTCTTTGTTTTCACTAATGGGATTCACTAAAAAATTAACTTATTATTTATATGCTGTGGCATAATCAAAAGCTTGTAACCCTAATGAAGTGGAAAATAATAATAATAAAAATCAAGAAAAAACATATCTTCAGTGTGGCCCTGGGCTGATGCTTCTTATATCACTTTTAAAAACCTTGTCCACAAATCATCAGCCTTACGCAGATCACAATAAAATCGGCAGGACCTTATGCCCTACTTTACTGAGATTGAGGTCTCTTGCATAGGGCCATCAACTAACACAGAAAAAAACTATCCATTTAATTTACAAATACACACACACACACACACACACACACACCTCTTTATATTCACTTTCTCTCTGAAAAAGAAATGGTATTCTAATATATAGTTCATCTTCCTGTACTCTGTGTCTCTCACTGTTTAAAAACTTTGTTATTAAACTATACTTTCTATTATATCTTCTAACTCTGTGACTTTCTTATGCATTGTCTTTCTAAATGCTCAGGTATCTTCATCCAATAAGTAGATTCATGCAACCCTTCAGCTCTGCTGCTCCTTCAAGCTCAGTCTTTTTTCTCCTTCATCAAATTAGCTGAAAGGTATTGATCTCCAATACGCCTAGCACCACACCACTCCCTCTTTCCATTACTTTCCTATGCTCTGTCTTCTCTGTTTATCTAGTAAAGCTCCTCCTGCTAATGTACCTGCAGCTTCCAAATCTCCAAGCCATAAGGATTTTCCCAGTTCTTTTCAACCTTATTCTCTCTATAGTTTATCTTTCCCTGGCCTCTATGACAGAAGATCATTTGATTTTTTTTTTCAAATGATTTTAGCATTTCCTTTTTGTATTTTGTTTTTATTTGTTTTAATTGGGGACAGGCTGGAATGCACTGGCATGATCATAGCTCACTGCAGCCTTGAACTCCTGGGCTAAAGCAATCCTCCCACCTCAGCCTCCTGAATAGCTGAGACTCCAGGTGCATGCCAACACACCTGGCTAATTTCTTTTTATTTTTTGTAGAGGGGGGTCTCACTATGTTGCCCAGGCTGGTCTTAAACTCCTGACCTCAAGTTATCCTCCTGCATTGGCCTCCCAAAGTGCTGGGATTACAGGCATAAGCCACTGTGCCTGGCCTGCCATTTCTTTTTTGAGTGCTATGTAGGTCCACTTTTTCTCACCCCACCTCCATTTAAACATATTTCTCAGAGTTTACTCTCTCAGTATGCATGTTTTTCACTCCTTGCCCTAGCTCTTAGGTTCTCATCTATTTTTATGGCCTTTAGCTATCTTATCTACAGAAATGACCCCCTCATCCATGGGTCTGCTCCAAATGTCCTCTTTCCAAGTTCTAGATATACAGTTTAAGGAGAGTGCTACTCCTTGTCTCCCGGATGCCTCCACTGCAACCACAAACTGAACATGACCAAAGAAAACTGCACTTTGTCTCTCAGAGGGGACTCCTCCTTCTAATCTACTTCTTTTAAAGATGCCTCTATTTGCTCATTCACCCAGTCAAAACGCTATCATTTTTGACTTGTCCATTGTTGACCATGTTCACGTAATTGAAAAGTCTGTAGAGTGTATGTCCACAATGCTTTTCAATCCCACTTAAACTACAATGCTTACTGCAAATCCTCATCAATTGCCCTTTTGCCTGCAGGCCTTTCTGCTCTAATCCACTGAAAGCACAAGTGCCCAGTTATTTTTATTTTTTTGAAGTTACTAGGTCTCTCTTTAATGCACTCAATTACATCTTTGAGTACATATAATTGAATATTTAAGTCCTCTACCAGGTGGACTTTTTCTCCCCTTCCAGCTTTATATCCTGGTGATCCCAATGAATATCCAATAATCCAGTTAGGCTCAACTACCCATGTGCCCCATCATTTTCCTCTTCTGAGATATTACTCATGCTTCATCCACTACCAGGAATCTCTGCTACCTCTTTGTCCTTCCCAGACATCATGTCAAAATTCTACTTATTTCTAAAGACCACCAGTTCAAATTTCACTTCCTTCAGATTTGTCTTTTCTAATCCTTTCAATCATTTAAAAACCCTTATATGATGGCAGTTAGCTTATTCTGACTTGTTTCTCTGATACAATGCCCCAGTTACATACCTCATAAGCTTCTTGTGTGACTATTTTTTGATTTGCACTTGCGGCATTAAACAAAAAATGTTGAACACAATAGTTACTCAGTCCATCTTTGTTGAATTTACAAATCTTTTCCTTTATTCACTCAAATTATGATCTCCAAAGCTGGACTTTAGTTTCAGAAACTTTGGGTAACAAAGCTGTGATATATTTAGTTAAGAAAGCACTGTAAACTTTTTCAATAAATTTAATCAAGTAAAGATTTATTAAGATAGTTAAGAATCCAGGAAGAAACCTCATGAACCAAATGAATTGAAAGAAGCTCCAAAATATAAATATCTAAAAGGCAGAAAATGTGCCTAACAAAAGAAAGTTTTGAAGTGAGAAAAACAACTTTCTTTAAATTGTTACTGGAATTTTTTTTTTGCCTCTAATAGCTTTTCAATATTAGCAAGAGAGAGATTAAAAATTAAAAATACATGAAATTTAGACAATGATTTCTGCTTTTACTTTTTTTCTTTTATAGATCTCATGTTAGACTTGTTGCCAAGAACGTCTGTGCTGTTTAGGGTCAGAAATTTATTTAGAATCTTAAAACTTCATAACTAATCTTAGAGGCATTCCCTAAATTAATGTCCATGACAAAGTTTCCAATGACTAGAATCAAAATATCATCCTTCATTTCAAAAGTTTTGGAAATTTCAAGCAGTTAAACATTTTAAGTAATTATAATAATGAGCTTCTAATAGAGATAAGTGATATTAGGTAGTGGTTGGAGTTTACAGATGACACCTTCATTACACTTTGGTACATTTGAAAAAGGTTTTTGGTTTTCCTTAACAATATGTAGGTTTGAATAACATATTCTGTAGTGATAAGATTCTGCCTCATAATGCACGTTTATGTGATTGGAACACGTCTCACAACAGAATCCTGCGGAGCCACTGCTCAAAAGCAACAATTCAGCCTCTGCAACAATAACATTGTCTAAACATTCATATAAAAAACACTCTGGATAACAGTGTAGAAGCCATTCTAAAAATAATTCTCGAAGTTCCATGGAATTAACCCTGCTCCGTTTGAGATCTTGTTTCTATGTAAAAATAAAACTTAGATTTTCATTACAATAGATAATATTAGAAAAATGTATTTGAAAATAAATTAACAACGTTATCAGTTTGTAGAAGCAAACAAATCTGTAGTTCTCATGGCAGTCGTATCAGGCAAGACAACCAGAGTTTTAAAGCTATTCTAATTTCCTATAATTCAAGAGATTTAGTAAAACTCGGTAGTAGTTAGCTGTGACTTAACCTGCTTCTTATCATAAATGGTCTAAAGTATTTCCATCTCATTTCATTCCTTTTAAAGCAAAAAAAAAAAAAAGCTGTATCTTTTTTTCCATTTCAGAAAGCATTTCAAACAAAATATTATTTGAATTTTTTGCAAAGCTCATTTTATTTTCCTTGATTTTCAATTTATGCGCATTTTAACCTTTAAATACTTTCCTGGAACCTTCTTTCTGGTATATCAAAAGCAGAAGTGTAGAGTATTTTATATCATGGCCTTTTTTCCTCTCGAGTCTCAAGCAACAGGGGACTGTTAGAATTTATGTAATGTATACATACAGGATGGATTTTGGATCACACCTTTTAAAGTCCTTTCTCCAAAAGTAGATTTTTAAAGGTCTCCAATACTTTCTTTAACAGACTGGATAAATCAAAGAAACAATTTTAGCTAATTGCTCATTCTTTTTCCTTTTTTATAAAATCCAGTTCATGAGTCAAGGTTTAGGAACTGGGCAAAATATATTATATAGAAAACTGAAGATGAGAACATTCCATCAGTAATGATCCAATAAGTATTTTTTTTCTCAGGGCTGAGATAGATAGCTCATTTATAAATTGTCTGTTTTTTTAAAGACAGGCTGAATCAAGAACTTAGTGTATCTATCAGTTTTGAAACATGCCCTGAAGCACAAACACAAAGAGAGCAGATCTCAGCAAGAGGAATGAGGTCTGTGTCACACCTGGCTGTGAGCCTGATGGAAGCTTCAAAGAGGGAAGGAGCTGTTTTCAGGTTGCAGAGAGGGCAAGTCGACTTCATAAAGCCATTTTTCTAAGCTTTTAAAAAAATTCTTCACCAAAGTTCTAAAAATTTTCTTGATTCTCTAATGTGCCTGAAGCCTGGGAAAAAATTTTACTTGATTTTAATTAAAATCTTGTATGTTTTATCAGCAAAATAGGAAAAAATTCTGATGGGAGGTTTCCCTTCCTTTTTCTGCCCATATTCCCTGAATATGCTTTTTATGTGTGTGTGTGCTGCATTGTATAGATTTCTTAACATCAAAAATATGTCTCTGGTAGAGATATTTGCTGTATTCCCATTGAAAAATATCTTGAATTCTTATAATCAAAAGCTGAGCATAGAAACATGAAGATAAATTCTTCAAAGCATTCATCAAAGAAATGGCTATAAAGTGATAATATTCAGTAAAGTACAGGGGTCATGAGTGCTATCACACTCTTAGCTACTTAAGGCCATATTAAAATTTCTTATATTGACACACTTGGAGAACTTGTCTCTCTTTGCAGCCATAGGTCTGGAATTAAGATCTCTTGTGGTCTGTTAAGAATGCACCATTATATGAGATCATGTAAACCCTACCCTCACAAAAGAATAACCATACTAGAATGACACAGATCACAGGAAAATCATAAACCAGGCCATATTTACATACTACAGCTAGAAGATAAGTCAGAAATTTAAAATATAAGACTGTCATCTTTAGTTTTGTCTTGAACCCCATGGTCTTCCAATTTCTGCTACTCACACAAGTCTATTACATTTTTCTTTTTCCATCGAAACTTTTTCAAATGATAATGTATACATTCTCCTTAAACTACTTTCTACTTAAACTATAGCTCTATACAATCTTTTCTCACCTGAACTGCAGGAAATCTGATATCTGAAACACCACCAAACATCCAAATGTATTACTAGTCATGTCTTAATCCTTATCCTCCAGTTGATATGATTGACAAACCCTTTCCTTTCTATAAGGTTCCACATCTCTTGTTCATATCTTACATACTGTACTCTCATTATTGTCATTCTAATTTCTTCACCTTCTCTTTACTATACATTTCCAAAGTTTGTATGGGTTTTCAGTTTTGTTTTTGTTTCTGTTGTTGTTTTTTTGGCTGCTTGCTTGTTCTCCATTTCCTTAAAAACCATTACACTATCTTCTCATCAATCTTGATACCACTCTTTCATGATCTAGCGGTCTCCAAAGTTTCAATGTGTCAGTGTAGCTTATCATCACATTTTCATATTTTTTCCTAATTTTTTTCCTTGAGATCCAGCTTTACTTTATAACTACAGGCTGGGGAGCTCTCCCTGAATGTTTCATGAGCAAATCAAACTTAACATGATGAAAAGGACATCTAAAAGGATATCCTCTTAACCATAAATTCTTCTTGACTTGTCAAGTCTGTAATTGACATCGATATCTTCTCAAGCCTCAAGGCTATTCATTACCTCAATGCTCATGCTATTCCATGATCTCTCAGTCAGAAATAAGCCACTGAATTCCCAAGAATTTTTCTGAACATTTTTGTGATGCTTATCAAGTCTTGATTTACTCTGCTATTTGGCTTCATCTTACATACCTTACTGTGCTAAAAACTTGTCTAATATCATATTTTTTTCGAACACAGAGTTTCCCCAGAAAGTATTCATATGATGATTGTTATCTAAGTAAATATAATTGATAATTAATTCTGTTCACTCAGAAAGCCACTCATAGAAGGAATAATTAATTCTGGACTAGTTTAAATGCACAGTCTTTCCTAAAATACCTATGACCATGTGGACCCTGTAGTAGGAACTAGCTTCAGGGAAAGGTGCAGTTCTCACATTCCAGAAGATTCACTCCAGGGCAGACACCAGGTTAAAAGAAGGATTTTGAATAATAACAGATTTGCTGACCCAGGTTAAAAATATGAATCTGTGCTATTGGCCACATAATTGATTTTAAAGAAAAGGCCCTGCAGTTATTCATTCTTGCTGATATCTCTGAATGGTGAAAACTCATATTTCAACACAACCACTGCCAGTCAGGATTCTTCACATCTAATCTTTGGCTCCTATTCATTTTACCTGGTGATGATGACATACTCTTTGTCTGAAAGAAAAATAAACAGCTAAGTCAATGTCTTTCTGAAAAGGATTAAGAGCATAATTATATGGCAGAATGGGAGTGAATGGATGGATTCCATCATCTCACTGTGTAGGTGAAAAGTACAAAGGCTAAAGCAGGAATTTAAGGAAGAGTGAAGGCCCTTAACAGAACTGACATAACTCGAAGGGGCAGTTATTTACATGAGTAAATCTAAAAGACAAGTGCAAGTTCACAAGACACTTCAAAATAACAGAACCATGTGGCAACTTGCTGAATACTTGAAAATAACAGTTTAGTAAAACAAAAATAATTCAGTTTTTCAGATTGTGAGTTATCTGCATTAAATACATTAAGTCAAAAATGTCTTACTGTTTCTCAAATGATTTTCAAATATTAGTCATCAGTATAAAGGATAGCATATTCATATTATAAAATATTAATTTGGATTTCATAAGCAGTAAAGATGTCTGTATCTGTATCAGCGTCTGAGATGCTGTTATATATAGCATGATAGCAGATGTGACATTTAGGGGAACACAAAACATCTAAAATGCTGTTTCCATGGCAACAGTTTATAAAAGAGAATACAGGGACTTAATAAGCTAAGACAATTTTAAATTCAAAAGAAGCATATTTGACTTTTAGTCACTAAATTATGAAATAAAATTTTTTTCTGTATAAATTATTCTTTGAAATACATAAGGAAAAGCTTGCTGCCATTGCATTTAGTGACCTCCAGGAGAAATTTATTAATTTATATCTAGGACAATAACACTGAAATGCTTTTGAATCTTCTTACTTCTCAGCAGATGGTCTGTAGCACGATAATTTCATGTTCAGTAGGCATAGACATTTGCACTGCCCACTTGGATTTTAAAGACCAGGCTACATTCTTAATTTTTCATCTTAAACACAAATTAATATTCAGTTCAATAAATGTACAAGGCTTTGAATTAGATAATGAAGAAAATGGAGAAATCAGTGCTTATCTAGTAAGAAATAAAAGACAAAGGCTACCAATAATAAAGTACAGCTCAAAAGACATCAAGTTCCTAGTATGGAACTATCATAGTAGAAAGATCAAGACATTGCTACGGACTAATAATTAAATCAAATCAGCCTTCATGGAGGAGGTTGTAGTTAAACTGAACCTTAGCAGATATGATGGGATTTGAAGAGGTAGAGATGCAGGTAAGTATATTTCGCAGATGGTCTTATAGTACAGACAAAAAAAAAAAATGGCTCATTGGAAAAATGGTTTAATTAGGAGTAAATAATGGAAAGCATTACAGAAGAAAATTTAAGCCTTGAAAATTATAGACAGTAAATCTTGGTTAAATTGAATGTAATTCATTGAATCTAATTGAAATGAATTAAAGGTTTGGGTAGTCATTGCTCCTGGAAGATTTTGGAGGTCAAACTATGCAATTTATTCTGTTGGAAGGTAATTTGCTCATTTAATACATATTTGGCTGGGACTGGTGGCTGGCACCTGTAATCCCACCACTTTGAGAGGCCAAAGTGTCTTTAGACTCAGCAACTTATTGGGGGCCACATGATGGAGGATGTGGTGATGGAGGCAAATAATTAAAAAAAGAGAAGCTTTGGGGGACAATTAGATATGATTTTGCCACCTTGATTTCAGGGATTCTCAAGGTGACTCATGGATGCTCTGAAGAAGATCTTCAGCAAAGAGTTAAAAATATGAAGCTGGACATCAAGGAAATGTTTACCTGTTGACTATGAGCCAACCTTAGAGATATACTCAACTCCATCAGAATGAATAGCAACCATTACTAGAAGGAGAACAGAGACCAATGAGAAAATAAATAACATTAAAAAGGCATTAGGAAGAGAAAATGTACGAATAAAACAAGATGAAAAGTAATTACAAAAGAATTAAAAGTTTTCCATGCCATGAAAGCCCTAAGTGGCATCCCATTAAAAATTGACATCATAATACGACTGCGTATTATTTATGACACCAAGAACTATATTTTTAATGAAAGCAATTATTTTACTTAATCATAAATTGTCGGCCGGGTGCGGTGGCTCACACCTGTAATCCAAGCACTTTGGGAGACCAAGGCAGGTGGATCACGAGGTCAGGAGATCGAGACCACACTGGCTAACACGGTGAAACCCCGTCTCTACTAAAAATACGAAAAATAGCCAGGTGTGGTGGCGGGCACCTGTAGTCCCAGCTACTCAGGAGGCTGAGGCAGGAGAATGGCATGAAATTGGGAGGCAGAGCTTGCAGTGAGCCAAGATTGCACCACTGCACTCCAGTCTGGGCAACGGAGCGAGACTTCGTCTCAAAAAATAAATAAATAAATAAATAAATAAATAAATGAATAAATAAATTGTCAAAGACAAGAAGTCAAGATTGACTTCTTGTCTTTCACCTTCCATATCTGCTCTTTCACCAAACTTTGTTAAATATACCTTTGAAATCCAGTAAATTTCATCTAATATGTTGGATACTTGCATTCCAATAAAGAGTAGCCTGGGAACATAAATTATAATTAAAAATAGATTAAATATTTCACTTTTTCTAAAACAGAGAGAATTCTAAAATTTTCATCGGAACTGGTTTTTAAATATGATAATCAGTTTTAATAACCTTAGTGTGGCAGACTAACTAAAACTACTGTGGATACATGAGTTTGCATAAATGGAGCTCACATACATGAATTTTCAACTAAACTAGCTTAAACACACTTGTACTCTTAAGCCAAAACTGTATAACTGAGATATTAATTGAAATTAATTGTAAACATGAGTTTACATCAAATGAAATGTGGCATAAATGCAGCCTTTTAATTATAAGATTGGATAAATTTGTTTTCAAAAACTTATAAAAATGCTTTTCCATTAAACTAGTTCAGTTTTAAAAACAACAGATTTTTTTTTAAAGTGAGAGTGTACATGTTTTTGTAAAAGCAAAATTTTATGTATGTACTTTCCATTCATACTAGCTTAGAAATGGCAGCTTTTTCAGTTGAATTAAAATGTAAGGTTTCAGAATAAACTTACTAACAATTTCTCTCAAAAATAGTTTAAAATATGGCAATATGGCTTTAAAAACAATAGATGAATCATATTTAGAAAAAATAAATTTTAAAGTAATTTCCAAATACATGATTTAATCTACACAAGCTTAAATAAGGTTAATCATATGCATTTCCTTCCTTCCTTTTATATTGCCACTGCCAAAGTTGACCACAGTGCCTAACATAATGTGTGGTATAGAGTAAGTGCTCAATAATGCTTATTGAACCAATGAATACACTGTTTTCCTCTCCTATTCTCTATTTATTCTCACAGACTGCTCTGCTATGTGTATCATTATTTGATGGACTCAAAATATATCTGATGTATCTGTTAATTTCTTTATTTAACGCTTCATTAGAATTTATTGGTTTAATTTTCTTTGTCATGTTTTCTTTATAATATTCAGATACGGTATTAGTCAAGGTTACCTACAGAGGCAGGACTAATAAGATAGATGTATATATGAAGGCGAGTTTATTTAGGAGGACTGACTTACACGATCACAAGGTGAAATCCCACAATAGGCCGTCTGCAAGCTGAGGCCTAAGGAAGCTAGTCCGAGTCCCAAAACTTCAAAAGTAGGGAAGCCAAAAGTTCAGTCTGTGGCCAAAGGCCCGAGAGCCCCTGGCAAATCACTGGTGTAAGTTCAAGAGTCCAAAAGCTGAAGAACTAGGAGTTCCATGTTCAAGGGCAGGAAGCCTTCAGCATGGGAGAAAGAGGAAAGCCGGAAGACTCAGCCAGTCTGCTCTTTGCATCTTCTGCCTGCTTTATTCTACCTGCGCTGGCAGCTGGTTAGACGGTGCCTACCCAGACTGAGAGTGGGTCTGCCTCTCCCAGTACACTGACTCAAATGTTTATCTCCTTTGACAACACCCTCACAGACACACCCAAGAACAATACTTTGCATCTTCCAATTCAATCAAGTTGACGCTCGATATTAACTGTCACTGGTATGTTGCTTCTCAATAGCTTTAGGTGCTTTACGTTTTGTCACCTCAACAAATGAAAAATTTTTGAAGGCAAGGACCTGTTTTGCCTTTTGTATGTGTAGCTTCACACTGCACTTTGCGTGCACTTCATTTCCACTTGGTAAACACCAGTTATAAAATTATTCAAACAAAAAAAATTGTTTTCAAACTTCCATAATCAAATTTGCATTTATCTTGAACAATTAGGTACATAGTTATTTGTAGAGCTGCATTTTAGGCTATGTACTTCTTAGACTTATTGGAACTGTACTCCCAGACTTGTAGATATTACCTGATGAAAATATTACACTAAGTATTAATATATTCCCATGTTAGACTTGCCTTTTTAATATTCTTTATACCTTTAGATGTCTCTGTTGCACTGAACTAGAGGAGAAAATACTCTAGTAAAATTTTAGCATACGTATGAATTTCCCTTTTAGATATTCATTTATTTAACCATAACTCGCTTGTTCATTTAGTCAACAAACATGAATATCCACTCTGTGCCAAGTACTATTGTAGCGACTAAAGAATGAGATACAGCAATAAACAAAATTATGTTCCTGCTATGCTAATGCTTATGTTCTAGCGAGTATATGGAAAATAATCAAGCAAAGAAAAATACATATCTAAAACATGGGGTTGATAATAACTGCCACACAAAAAAGAAAACAGAGGAAGAGAAGTAAAAATACCAAGGGAAAGCAAGGTATTGCAGTTTCATTAAGGGTGTTCAGTGAAGGCCTTAAATGAGATAGCATTTGTGCAGACATCTAAGGAGGTGAAGGAGTAAGGCATGTGTATATCTGGAAAGGAGTATTTCAAACTGTGAGAACAGAAAAGACTTAAGGGAGGCACATGCTTAGCGTGTGCAAGGAACAGAAAAAAAAAACAACTGAAGGGTAGGGATAAATGGGGTACAGCAATCAAGGGGAGAGTACAGGACAATAAAACCAGAGAAGTACCAGCAGAAGGACCCTAGAGGTCATGGTACAGACTGGGATTTTACTTTGAATGAGACAGAATGTCTTGAAAAATATTGTAGAATACCTCTGCCTTTAGGGTGCCAAAAAGATCATAGGGAGCATGAGTAGAAGCAGAAAAACAGGTTAAAAGATTTCAGTTTAGGTACAGATAACGGTGGCCTAGAATGGGGTTGTTTATGCTAGCTTTTGTGTACACTTCCAAAACCAAACAAGCAAATCATGGAGAGCTGAGAAGAGTGGATGAATTATATATGAGTTGTGACAGAAAGAGAGGAGTCAAGGATGACTCCAAAAGTTTATGGCTTGAGAAAATGGAAAAATGAATTTGCAATATTATGGATGAAATCGAATTGTAGGAAATTTTAAACTTCAGAAATATTAAGTTTGTGAAGGCTATTAAGCATTCAAATGAGAATGTCAAAGAGGGAGTTGGATTCAAGAAGCTTCTTCACTAAACTCCTCTTTTCTTTCCAAAATTAAGCTCATGTATCTTAATGCAAAATTATAATATGTGACTGATGAGACTAAGCTTTGTTCAATGAAAGCCCATATTTCAATAGCTGTTATTAGAATATTATATGTTAAACTGTGTTTATAATTGAAATGTCTTCAGTTTTCCATTTTAGGAAAGGGTTTTCTAACAGAAGTTGGTTGCGTAAGCTTTTGAGGCAAACTCTTTTCTGAAAGCCAAAATATCATCTAAAACCATCTCTATGAACTGGATCTTCATATTAATCCTCTTCACAGATAGAGAATTTACGTTGTGTTACTGAATGCCAGATGTAAGGCTGGCACACTTTCCCTGTCAACAATGATTATTGTCATTTAATTCGGTATTTATTCTGAGACTTGCTCTGTGAGCAGTTCTCACAGGGAAAACTCTTAATGTCACAGACCTACTGCTCTGGTGTTATACACTTCCTGAAAATTCACATAGGTCTGGGCCCTGTGTTTCCTTCCTAATCCCCTTATGCTAGGCTAAGAGAGTATTTTCCAGAAACTGTTTATAAGGTCTGTAACTTCTGTGCCTGTGTTTCTCAAACTTATGTTTCTTGGAGTGCCTTTGTTTTAATTGGAGACCATTTTAGGGCTTGAGCAACTTCTCTTAGAGCTACTTGCTGCTGTGGTTTGTCTTACATTTGTAGGCTTGCTGTCAGCCAAGATGTCAGAACTAGTGGTCCCAAGGCAATATGCTGCTGAAACATTCTCCCACTTTCTTGTTTACAAATCTTCTCCTTCCACTTGACACAGTGCAGTTATGTGTTTCTCATGGTTTTGTTCATGTTTCTTATATGAATGACCTGGTTGGCATAGCTGCTTTCAATAAAATAGAGTAGTCTACATGAGACACCCAACGTCAGACTGGCTTGCTACTTTAATTCCCATTGCAGCCATCAAAATGAAAACATGTCTGTCGGCCAGAGGAAATCAACAAACATACAATAGGAAAGCAAAATATTTTCTCTACTATTTTCTCTTCACTTGGAAATAGAAAAGGAGGTTATAACTTGCTAATCTCTGTGGCTCTGTTGTAACAACTGAATCACTCTCTGGGGAGACACAGACTCCTGTTGGAGAAACACTGTGATAATCAATGGTTTAAATGTCCTTAGCTGACTGAAATGAAGAACAATCAGCCATTCCAACTTTGCTGTTTCCTGAAGGTTCCTTGCTTCTCAATCCTTAATGCTTTTGCAGTTGAAGTTATCCCTAATGGTTCATCCTTCCCTTTCACCTCTCTACTTCCTTCTTTTTGATCAAGCATCAGCTGAATTCTCATCTACTCTGGGACATTTGTCTTACTGCTCTGCTTCAATCTGACATGCTGTGTATTGAATAACCTGACCCTGAGAAAGTCTGCTACACATATGCCTTCATCTACACTTCCTGTGCACAGATTCTTGTCAGTCATGGTCAAATTCTGGACCATGTGGCTATAATATGCTTTTATTTTTTCAACCCAGCCATACAATTAGACCAGGGGTATGCACAAGGCTCAAAGGCAGCCAAAACATCAGTTTTACAAGGATCCTTGATGTTCCAATGAATGTGAAATGTTAAATGGGACTATCAGACTCTTCTCTACAATTTTTAATAAAAGAAATACAGAGAGGTGAGGTGATTGACAAAGCTCACTCAAGAAGTACTTTATGTTATAAAAAAAGACCCAGAAGGGCCTTGATGGACCATGATAAGACAAAGTTTTGAAAAAGCAGAAATAAGAGAAGAAGCTTATTTGCAGATAGAGAAGAGAGTGGACTTGATGTACAGAAAGAACCAAAAACAGTCCAGGTGCAGTGGCTTATGCCTGTACTCCCAGTAATTTGGGAGGCCGAGGCTAGAGGATCACTTGAGTCTAGGACTTCAAGACCAGATGGGCCAACATGGCAAAACCCCATCTCTATGAAAACTGCAAAAATTAGCTCGCTGTGGTGTCGTGTGCCTGTAGTTTTAGCTACTCAGGAGGCTGAGGTGGGAGGATCACCTGAGCCTGGGGAGGTGAAGGCTGCAGTGAACCATGATTTTGTCACTGCACTCCAGCCTGGGTGACAAAGTGAGACTCTGTCTCAAAAATAATAATAATAAAAAAAACTAAACAGAGCTCACTGTGGAGAGATGGAGATAGATGGGGCAGCCAAGTCCAATTCCAATTCCAGGAGATGTGATTGACAGTAAGTGGCAGTTGCTTGAGATAGCTAGGACAAGGCACTCTTCTTTACGTGCAAATGCCTATCAAGAGTTCCATGAATATCTCCTTTGTACACTCATCCTGCTCCATCTCTAACTTAGTTGTCAGTGTCTTTCAGAAGACTGTTACTGTTGTGAGAAAGAGATCTCAGTCATTCTGACTTAATCTATATATCTAACAGGCTCTCAATAAACATTTGGCCACTGTACCAGGGCTAGCGCAAAAATGTCATGGCAAGCTAGAACTTTCAAATCTATCTGTCTTCATTGACAGACTTTTAAGACTTTTCAGAATAAGAAAAGCATTGACTGAATGCTAAGAATATTCCTACTCTAAAGCATTGTGTTATGTCTAGCTCATGCTAGAATTTAAGGCCTCCCTTTCTCTATCTATTAGACCTAATTAATTACCAAATCTGATTCTTTCTCTGACTCTAAATACCTGTCTCATTTCCTTCCCACTACCGGACCTCACAGTACTTCCCTTAATTCAGGCCACTATTTTCATCCAGATCAGTTACCACTATCTTCTCACATGTCTTCCGGCCTCAGTTGTGACCCCCTCAAGTTAATTTTTTCATTCTGCCACCAGAAGATTCTTAAACACAAGTCTGATCATTGCACTCCAGTACATAAAATCTTGCAAGGCCAATCCCCCTTGTTTGTAGGATAAAATACAAATTCCTTTATACAGCAGACAAGGTCCTTCATGACCTGACACTCGTCCTCTTCAGCATCATTTCTTTTCATTATTATTTCTTTCCCTCTGCCTTTCTCTGTTCCAGCCCAACTAGCTCTTTTGGTTCCTTGAATATATCATGTTTTTCTCAACTCTGAAACCTCAAGCATGCTATTTCCTTGGCCTGGAACTCTGTCTGCCACAAACTCCAATGTCCTTAAAACACACATATTTCATCTGAGTCAGGCTGAGTCATCCTTCAGTATAAGCTCAGATACTTCTTCCTCAAGTGTTTCAATTACTACCTTATTCAGTCCCAAATTGAAGCTGGGTTTTGCTTCTGCACGCTTCTAAAAACCTTCTTGTATTTATAATATTATATTTGGCTGTAATACTCACTTTTTATATTATAAACTCATTATAAATAGGAACTCTATATAATGTCTAACCATGTTATCTGTAGCATCTAATGCAAAGCAAAGACACATAGTGGGCAATCATTAAATACTTTTTTAATTGAATGAAGTAGAACACCAGGATTCATTTGTACAGAGAGCAAGATAGGTATACATGCTGGCATATGACAGAATGATAAATAGACAAGCGTTAAGAATCTGGAGTTTTTGTGAGACAGGAAGCATAGTAAGATTTCTCTGTGTGTTTCCCTCCAGGAGTGATTCAGAGCAGGAGGATAGGAAAGGAGGATCCTATCTATTCTAAAAGACTGCCCCCAGTTCAGGATTACTTCACTCAGTCTATGGGCTAGTAAATAGATTGCATTTAAAGTAGGACTTTGTAATGTTTCGACAAATACAGAGAAATCCAAATGAAGAAAAGACAGAATGGTTTCTACTGGTATTGGAAAGGCTTATTTTCACTACTACATTTGTCCAAACCCTACAGATTAGTGATTAACTGAGAAATTAGTTTTGTCCTTCTTGTGTTCTAGAATAAGGTGAATAAACAATCACAAATAAAGTTTTGTCTCAAGATTTTAATTGTTCTACTGTTCCCACAGTATATGCCATTGTATTTTTAAAATATCCCACTTTCGTAAAATTGCAATAATAGCAACTAATCTTATAGATGGAGAAAATATAGGTTGGTACAAAAGTAATTGTGGCTTTTGCCATTATAAGTAATAATAAAAATCACAATTACTTTTGCAACAACCTAAATATATATATATATATATATATATATATATATATATATATATACACAAATAATGTCAAGATACCACTAACCACGCTGTGAGTAGAAGAGCAAGTATTAATATTAATCTTTACTTTTTAGCCTGAGGCCTAAGATGACACTAATGTTATCATTATCATCATCAGCATCAGCATACCCTTCCTTCTAAGAGCTGAGATTTGTTGAGCCTTTACTTTGTACTTTTCATGCATTATCTTATTTAATGACAACAATAACCCAGTAAGTCAGTACTCTTATTACTCCATTTTTTACGTTTAAAAAATCAAGCTTAGACAAGTTAATAATATTCCCAACGTCACACAGCTAGTGGAGGGAAGTGTTGGAATTCAGATCTAGTATCATATTGTAACCTGACAGTGCTTTTAACAATTGCTGAGAATTTCCTCGTAGCATAATTTTGTTGTTTTTTAATTCCCTCGTAGATGCTCGAACATGCAACTCAAAGATTGAAATAATCTTTATAATAGTTGGTTACTGAAGCTACTTCCCTCTTTTTCAGTTTTCTGTACTATGACCTCATCCCCCTTCTACCTTCCCTCACTTCCCTTCCCACTCTTCCTTTAAGATTACAGGAAGAAAACCTATTCATGCGTTGCTAGGTCAGTTTTAAGAATAACTCTAGATAAACCTAAGGTCCAATTTTATATCCAAATTTGAAGACCAGTATTCATTTCATAATCCTTCCATCAAAGGGATTTTGTGTTTGCAATATAGATAACAGTGTTCTAATCCAAGAAGTGTTTCTTGGAGACAAAGACTATTACTCTTGTCACACCAACTAATGACATTGTCCTCCTTATAGTCTTTGGAATAGGAGGAGATAGTGATTGTTTATAAGCTCAGAAAAGAGCATTAAATTGCTGATCCATTAGGATTTTCATTTTCAAAGTCTTTGAAACAGCTTGGTACACATTTTTTTTACCATCTTATTTTCTAAACAAGATTAATGGTTCTTAGATTTTTTTTTTTTTTTTTTTTTGAGACAGAGTCTCACTTTGTTGCCCAGGTTGGAGTGCAATGGCATGATCTCAGCTCACTGGAACCTCTACCTCCCAGGTTCAAGCGATTCTCCTGCCTCAGACTCCTGAGTAGCTGGGATTACAGGCACACGCCACCATGCCCAGTTAATTTTTGTATTTTTAGTAGAGACGGGGTTTCACCATGTTGGTCAGGGTGGTCTCGAACTCCTGACCTCGTGATCCACCTGCATCAGCCTCCCAAAGTGCTGAGATTACAGACGTGAGCCACCACACCCAGCTCTTCAATGTTCTTTAGGATCATGCAGATTAAATAGTGAGAGTCTATTTGCACTTATGTCCATCAAGTTGCAATACTGACTAAAGTCAAACTAGAAAATTAAACACCTATTATTGCCATATGTGACCAGAATATAAAGCCAATAAAAGCCAAACTGATATTTTGGGTCATCATGAATTTGTTCCATCTTTAGGTGATAGGAAGGTTTCAGCTTTGATATTCTTTATATTTGGAACTGAGTTTCTGCTACTCAGTTCTAAGAGTAGTAGGAACTCAAGAGCATGACTTTTACATTAGTAGGCAAATGATTTTATATGGCTATAAGTACTGTAGTTATATATATTTGATTATTCAATATTAAAGCATCAATAGTTAGGTTTAATCAACCAATATTCTCTGTGAAATACATTGAATCCAAATAGAGGACACTTCTACCTAGAAAAGAGGCAGCAGAACAGAATACAATAAGGGACCTAATCATTTTCACTTGTCACCTGTAAGTCTCTTTATTGTTATTATTGTGATCAAAACACATAACATGAAATCTACCCCCATAACAACTGTTTTCAGTGTACAGTACATATAGTTAACTATAGGTACATTTTTATAAATCAGATCTGTAGAACTTCTTCGTCTTGCATGACTGAATCTTTATATCCATTGAAAAGCAATAACCCATTTCCCACTCTCTGCTTCCACTGGCAACCATCATTCTACTTTTTGCTTCTATGAGTTTGACTATGTTTGATACCTCATATAAGGGGAATCATATAGCATTTCTTTCCATGACTGGATTATTTCACTTAGCATAATGTCTCAAGGTTCATCCATGTTTTAGCATATGACAGGATTTCCTTCTTTGTTGAGGTTGAATAATATTCCATTGTGCATATACAATAAAACATATACATTATATATATGTGTGTGTGTATATACACATATATTTTTTAAAAGTTTGACTTACAGTTCTGCATGGCTGGGGAGGCCTCAGGAAACTTACAGTCATGGAGGAAGGCAGAGGAGGAGCAAGCACCTTCTGACATGGCTGTGAGGGAAGGGAGAAAGAGTGCAATGTAAAAGTGTTCCCTGTTCACTACATCCACACCAAAATCTATTATTTTTTGATTTTTAGATTATGGCCATTCTTGCAGGAGTAGGGTGGTATCACATTGTGGTTTTGATTTGCATTTCCCTGATCATTAGTGATGTTGAGCATTTTGTATATGTTTCTTGGCCATTTGTTTAACTTCTTTTGAGAATTGTCTATTCATGTCCTTAGCCCACTTTTTTATGGGATTGTTTGTTTTTTTCTTGAAGTTCGTTGTAGATTCAGGATATTAGTCCTTTGTCAGATGTATAGATTGTGAAGATTTTGTCCCACTTTCTAGGTTGTCTGTTTACTCTACTGACTGTTGCTTTTGCTGTGCAAATCTCTATAGTTTGATTACATCCCTTTTATTTATCTTTGTTTTCATTGCATTTGTTTTTGGGTTCTTCATCATGATATTCTTGCCTAAGCCAATTTCCAGAAGGGTTTTTCTGATGTTATCTTCTAGAATTTTCATAGTTTCGGGTCTTATATTTAAGTCCTTAATCCATCTTGAGTTGATTTGTGTATAAGGTGAGAGATCAGGATCCGGTTTCTTTCTCCTAAATGTGGCTTGTCAGTTATCCCAGCACCATTTGTTGAATAAAGTGTCGTTTTCCCACTTTATGTTTTTGTTTGCTTTGTCAAAGATCAGTTGGCTGTAAGTATCTGGGTTTATTTCTAGTTTCTCTATTCTGTTCCATTGGTCTATGTGTCTATTTTAAAACCACTACCATGCTGTTTTGGTGACTACAGCCTTATAGTATAGTTTGAAATCAGGTAATGTGATGCCTCCAGATTTGTTCTTTTTGCTTAGTCTTGCTTTGGGTCTGTAGGCTCTTTTTTGGTTCCATATGAATTTTAGGATTTTTTTTCTAGTTCTGTGAAGAATGATGGTGGTATTTTGATGGGAATTGCATTGAATTTGTAGATTGCTTTTGGCAGTATGGTCATTTTCACAATATTGATTCTACCCATTCATGAGCATGGGATGTGTTTCCATTTGTTTGTATTGTCTATGGTTTCTTTCAGCAGAGTTTTGTAGTCTTCCTTGTAGAGGACTTTCACCTCCTTGGTTAGATATATTCCTAAGTTTTTATTTTTATTTTTGCAGCTATTGTAAAAGGGGTTGAGTTCTTGATTTGATTATCAGGTTGGTCACTGTATAGGAAAGCTACTGATTTGTGTACATTAATTTTGTGTCTGGGAACTTTGCTGAATTCTTTTGCCAGTTCTAAGAGCTTTTTGGAGGAGTCTTTAGAGTTTTCTAGGTATACAACCATATCATCAGCAAACAGTGACAGTTTGACTTCTGTACTGATTTGGATGCCCTTTATTTATTTCTCTTGTTTGATTGCTCTGGCTAGGACTTCCAGTACTATGTTGAATAGAAGTGGTGAAAGTGGTCATCCGTGTCTTGTTCCAGTTCCCAGAGGGAATGCTTTCAACTTTTCCCCATTCAGTGTTATGTTGACTGTGAGTTTGTCATACACGGCTTTTATTACATTGAGGCATGTCCCTTGTATGCTAATTTTGCTGAGAGTTTTAATCATAAATGGATGCTGGATTTTGTCGAATGCTTTTTCTGCATCTATTGAGATGATCATGTGATTTTCATTTTTAATTCTGTTTATCTGTTTTACGACATTTATTATTTGCAGATGTTAAACCATCTCTGTATCCCTGGTATGAAACCCACTATATCATGGTAGATTAACTTTTTGATATGCTAGTATTTTGTTGAGGAATTTTGCATCTATGTTCATCAGGGGTATTGGTCTGTAGTTTTCTTTTTTGGTTATGTCCTTTCCTGGTTTTGATATTATGGTGATACTGGCTTCATAGAATGATTTAGGGAGGATACCCTCTTTCTCCATCTTGTGGAATAGTGTCAACAGGATTGGTGCCAATTCTTCTTTGAATATCTGGTAGAATTCAGCTGTGAATCCACCTGGTTCTGGACTTTTATTTTTCTTGTCCTTGGTTTAGAGGAGGCCATAAAATCTTTGCCTAGACCAATGTCCTGAAGTGTTTTACCTATGTTTTCTTTTGGTAGTTTTATAGTATTGAGTCTTATGTTGAAGACTTTAATCCATTTTGATTTGATTTTTGCATATGGTGAGAGATACAGGCCCAGTTTTATTATTTTGGATGTGGCTATACAATATACCCAGCAATATTTATTGAAGAGAATATGGTTTCACCAAGTATGTAGTTGGTATATTTATCAAAAACAATTTGGCTGTAAATACATGGATTTATATCTGAACTCTCTATTTTCTTTCTTTGGTCTATGTGTCTATTTACATAACCATAACATGCTGTTTTGTTACTATAGCCTTATAATACATTTTAACATCAGGTAATGTGATGTCTCCAGTTTTGCTCTTTTTGCTCAGCTTGTTTTGGCTACTAAGGCTGTTTTTGGTTTCATACAAATTTTAGGATTTCTTTTTAATACTGTGAATAATCACATTGGTAGTTGGATAAAAATTGCATTGAATCTGTAAATTGCTTTGGGCAGTATGGTCATTTTAATGATATAAATTTTTACAATCCATGAATATGGGGTGTCTTTCCAATTTTTGTGTGCTCTTTAATTTCTTTTTATTACTGGATTATAGTTTTCTGGTAGAGATTTTCAATTCCTTGATTAAAGTTATTACTAGATATTTCATTTTTCTGTAGCTATTGCAAATGAATTACTTTCCTGATTTTTTCTCAGCTAGCTAATTATAGATGTATAAAACACTACTGATTATTCTATGTTGATTTTGTATCCTGTGACTTTAATCAATTTATTTATCAGTTCAAAGTTTTTGGAAGAGTCTTTAGGTTTTCCTAAATAGATCATATCATCAGCAAAGAGAGAAAATTTCACTTCCTCTTTTCCGACTTGAATGTCTTTTACTTCTTTCTCCTGCCCAAATGCTCTGGATAGGGCTTCAAGTACAATACTGAATAAGAGTAGTGAAAGTGAGCACCTTTGTCTTGTTCCAGGTCTTAGAGGAAGGACTTTCACCTTTTTCCCATTCAATACAATGTTAGCTGTGAGCTTATCATATATAGCTTTTTTAAATATTGAGGTACATTTTTTTATGCCTTGTTTGCTGAGAATTTTTATGATAAAGGGACAGTAAATTTTATCGATTTTTTCTGTGTCTATTGTGATGATCATATAGCTTTTTGTTCCTCATACTGTTGATGTGATGCATCATGTTTATAGATTTGCCTGTCATGAACCATTCTTGCACCATGGGGATAAATTCCACTTGATCACATTGTAGTTTGTTGTTGTTATTGCTGTTGTGCTGTTGGATTCAGTTTGCTAGTATTTTGTTGAGAATTTTTACATCTATGTTCATTGGGCATATTGCCTGTGGTTTTATTTTCTTGTTGCATCTTTGTCTGTTTTTGATATCAGGACAATTCTGGTCTGGTAGAATGAGTTAGACAGAATTCACGCCACTCCAATTTTTTGCTAGAGTTTGAGAATAATTGATATTAGTTCTTCTTTGAATGTTTGGTAGAATTTGGCAGTGATGCCATCCAGCCCTGAGCTTTTATTTGTTGGAAGACTTTTTATTACCGATTCAATCTCATTATTGTTATTGATATGTTCAGGTTTTCTATTTTTTTCTGATGCAGTCTTGCTAGGTTGTTTGTATCCAGGAATGTATTATTTTCCTCTAGGTTTTCCAACTTATTAGTGTATAGTTGTTCATAATAGTCTCTGAGGGTCTTTCGTATTTCTGGCGTATCAGTTATATTGTCTCCTTTTTCATTCCTGGTTTTCTTTTTATTTGGGTCTTTTTCTTTTTTCTTGGTTAGTCTAATTTGCAGTTTATCCATTTTGTTTTTCTTTCCAGAAAACCAATTTTTGGTTTTAATTATTCTTTTTTAATGTTTCTTAGTCTCTGTTTCATTAGTTCTACTTCAGCCTCTTCTATTTCTTTTCTTCTCTTCATTTTGGGTTTGGATTGTTTTTGCCTTTCTAGTTTCTTGAGGTGCATTGTTAGACCATTTATTTGAAGACTTTCTACTTTGTGATGCAGATGCTTATTGTTACAAACTGTGCTCTTTTTTCTGTACTCTTTTTTCTGTATCCCATAGGTTTTGGTATGTTGTGGTTTTTTGTTTGTTTGTTTGTTGTTTGTTTGTTTGTTTTTTGAGATGGAGTTTAGCTCTTGTTGCCCAGGCTGGAGTGCAATGGTGCGATATTGGCTCACTACAACCTCCACCTCCCGGGTTCAAGGAATTCTCCTGCCTCAGCCTCCCAAGTAGCTGGGATTACAAGTGCCCACCATCATGCCCAGCAATTTTTTTTTTTTTTTTTTTTGTATTTTTACAAGAGACGGGGTTTCACAATGTTGGCCAGGCTGGTCTCAAACTCCTGACCTCAAGCGATCCACCCGCCTCAGCCTCCCAAAGTGCTGGGACTACAAGCATAAGCCACCGCGCCTGGCCTGGTATATTGTGTTTTAATTTTCAGTTGTTTCAAGAAATGTTTTATTTCCTTTTTAATTCGTTTCTTTACCCAGTGGTCATTCAGGAGCATGTTGTTTAATTTTCCTGTATTTGTACAGTTTTGAAAATTCCCCCTGTTATTGATTTCTAGTTTTCATTCACTATGGTTTGAAAAGATATTTGATACGTTTCAATTATTTTTTATTTGTTGAGACTTGCTTTGTGTCCTATCACATGATCTATCCTGGAGAATGTTCCAGGCTGATGAGAAGAATGTATATCCTGTAGCTGTTGGATAAAATGTTCTGTAAATGTCTGTTAGTTCTATTTGGTCTAAGCACAGTTTAAATCCAGTGTATCTTTGTGAATTTCCTGTCTTGATGATCTGTCTAATGCTTAGTGTGGGTTGTTGAAGTTCTCAACTACAATTGTTTTATAATCTATCTCACCTTTTCAATCTAATACTATTTACTACATATATTTGGGAGCTGCAGTGATGGGTGCATATATGTTGAGAATTGTCATATCCTCTTGCTGAACTGATCCCTTTATCATGATATCATGATGATCTTTTTCCTTTTTACTGTGTATGACTTAAAGCCTGTTTTATTTGATATAAATATAGCTACTCATGCTTGCTTTTGGTTTCCTGTTGTGTGGAATACCTTTTTCCATCCCTTTTATTTCATTCTATCTGTCTTTATAGATGTGATGAGTTTCTTGTAGGCGACATACAGTTGGCTCACTTAAAAAAAATCCACCCAACCAGTCTATGTCTTTTAAGAGAAAAGTTTAATCTATTTACATTCAAAGTAATTATTGATATTTATTTCTGTTATTTTATTAATTTCTGGTTATTTTTAATTTTTTTTTCCTTCTGTATATCTTACTATTTATCACTGTGGTGTGGTGGTTTTCTGTATGGTAATTTTTGAGGCTTTTCTCTTCCTTGCTTGTGTGTTTGCTCTACCAGTGGGTTTTATCCTTTCACGTGTTTTCATGGTGGTAGATATTATCCTTTTACTTCTGGGTATAGGACTCCCTTACTCTCTTAAGCACTTCTTGTAGAGAATGATGAATTCTCTAGGAATTCACCATCTATTGATGATGAATTACCTCAGCTTTTGCTTGTCTGCAAAAGACTTTATTTATTCTTAATTTAGGAAGGATAGCTTTGCTGGGTGCAGTACCTCTGGCTAGGATTGTTTTTTTCTTTCAGCATTTTGAATATATCATCTCATTCTTTCCTGGCCTATAAGATTCCTGCTGATAAATTTACTGTTAATCTGATGGGAGTTTCTTTTCAAGTGAATAGATGTTTTCTCTTGCTGTTTTTAGAATTCTTTTTATTTGACTTTTGACATTTTAACTATAATGTGCTGTGAAAAAGACCCTTTTTGAATTTTATCTGTTTGGGAACCTCTGTGCTTCCTATATCTATGTGTCTAAATCTCCTGCTAGACTTGGGAATTTTTGTCTATGATTTTGTTAAATAGGTTTTCTAAGCCTTTTATTTTCTTTTTGCTTTCTGTGATACCAAAATTTCAAATATTTAGTCACTTTATTGTATCCCATATGTCATGAAGGTTTTGTTCAGTTTTTTTTCTATTCTATTTTCTTTTTCTTCTGATTGGGTTATTTCAAAAGACCTGGCTTCAAGTTCTGAGGTTCTTTCTTTTGCTTGATCTAGTCTATTATTGAAGCTTTAAAATATATTTTGTATTTTTTAAATTAATTCTTCAGTTACAGAATTTCTAGTTCGTTCTCTTTCATGATCTCTATCTCTTTGGTAAGTTTCTCATTTATATCCTGAATTGTTTTCCTGACTTTTAAAATATTGTTTTCCAGTATTCTCTTATATTCCACTGAACTTCTTTAACATCAATATTTTAAATTGTTTTTCCATTCAACACCTCTGAAAAGAAGGGGAAGTGAAAAAGAAAAAGAAAAAAATAAATGATTTTTCCAGGATTTTGCAAGTATTTTTAGCTGGGATCTTTTGTTGGAGAATTATTGTCTTCCTTTAAAGGTGTCATATTTCCTTATCTTTTTATGTTTCATGTGTCCTTATGTTGGTATCTGCACATGGATTTAATAGTGGATTCTTCCAGTGTTTTGAACTTGCATACTTAGGCAAGGACTTTTTGCTGAACATATATCTATCTTGTTATTTGAATATGGCACTTTGGTTTTGATTCCAGGTGCGTGCAGTAATGTAGTCTCTGTATAATTCCTTTGGCTGTAAAGAGTCAGTGACATCTGTAATTTCCTTGATGTCTTAGGGTATAGTTATTAGTAGAGGCTGTGGTGATGTTTTTCTGGGGACCAGGACACAAGGTTGGCCCGTGCTTGAGGCCCAGTGGTGGCAGTGGTAGGCTGAGAATGCCTATCTGCCCTTAAGCTCCAGGGTGGCAAACACTGTACTGGTATTAGTGGGACCAGGCAAAATGATTTTGAGAACTCCAGTTGGCTTGCTCAGATGCCTGTAGTGGCAGCAGCAAGCCAGGTGGGTGGACAAGTTCTTGCACCCCTGCGCAGCAGGTGTGGCATGGATGATGACAGTAGCAGTAGGAAACAATCTTCTGGGTCGGAAGCAGTGAGCACTGGTGCTGGTGATTACTGCAATGGGCTGAGTGGGTCAGTCTCAGGCCCACAACTGGTACATGCAGGTAGGTGCCAACTGTGGTGGTAGCAGCGGAGTGGGCAGGCCCAACTTCAGGCCCCATGGAGAAGTGCTCAAATGCTAACAACAGTAGACTGGCTAGGCAATCCCCTGGCCCCTGGACTGTGTGCTCTGGTACTGGCTGTGGAATCAAAGCCAAGCCAGTAAGGCTTGTACTCAGTTCCTCCAGGTGTGTGTATAGTCAGTGACTGCAGTAGGAAGGTGCAGAGTGATTTACAGTCCCCTGGTGAAATGCTTAGGTTGGGGGCTGCAGCAATTGTGCTGTGGCCCTGCTACCGGGGAGGGTGCGGTTTCTTTCAGTGGCAGCAGCTGTGTGCAAGTAGATGGGAAACATGAGCTTCACTCGTGCTTTAGCCCCAGTGGTGGTGGCTCTTGCTCAGCTCACACTTCAGTTCCAGCAGTGGCCGCCCACACTTTGTTTGTGCTTCAGCCCTGGCAGTGGCAGCCCACAATTTATCATGCTTCAGGCCTGGCAGCACAGCTGTGGGGATATAGAATGTAGTAGCTCCACTGCTGGAGGCAGCAGGGTTGCAGGCAATGTCCTGCACTTGGCCCCACTGACAGCAATCAGCCACAGTGTAGCTCCAGGTAGGGAATGTTGGTCGGGGTCCAAGGATGTGGAGATGCAAGCACTGTTGGGCTTCAGGACAGAGTGCAGTCTGTTGAGAGCTGGGCTTTCAAAATGGTACTTTACTCTAGCTGCGTAAGACTTTGGACACAGCATGAGTGGGACACAGCATGAGCTCCCTCTCTGGAGCAGTGCCATTGCTTACTCTCCAGTCTCCAGGCAGTTTCCTATGTTAGCTTCAGAGCCTATGAAGTTTAAGGGGCTCTCTCGTGGCTGGTATTGCAGTTCACAGTGGGAATTTCAACCACTGAGGAGTACTTCACTTATCCTTTTCCCACACTGGGGAGTCTCTCCAAGCTCATAGCTGATCCCCGCCAAGCAGGCTGCTTCACTTCCCTCTCCTTTTTCGCTTTAGGTGTTTCCTGTCACATCCCTATTGAATTCCAGTGTTATCCAATGATCTATTGAAAATGTGATTACCTACTCGCTAATTAGTCTCCTTTTTACAGAAGAGGTGAGTACAAGATGTCTAGTTAGCCATCTTGGAGCCCGTCTGGTTTGCTACTATTTTGTTGAGAATTTTTCCATTTATACTCATCAGGAATATTAGCCTGTAATTTTGTTTTGTTTTGTTTTGTTATTCTTGTAATGTCTTTGTCTGGATTTGGTATCAGGGTAATGCTATCCTCATAAAATTATTTTGGAAGTAGTCTTTCCTCTTCAATTTTTTTGCAAGAGTTTGTGAAGTGTTGATGTTAATTCTTCTTTAAATGTTTGGTAGAATTATCCGGTGAAGCCACCAGGTCCCGGGCTTTGTTTATTGGGAAGATTTTGGTTAATGATTCAATCTCCTTTTGAGTTATAAGAGTTCAGATTTATTGTTTCTTAATGAGTCATACATTGTAACGTCTGTTTTTTATTTCTGATTTTTTAATTGGGTCTTCTTTCTTTTTTGTTTTTTGCTCTAGCTATAGGTTTTCCAATTTTGTTGATCTTTTAAAAAAGAAACTTTTAGTTTCAGAGATTATTTCTGTTATTTTTCAACCCTATATTTCACTTATTCTGCCCTAGTCGTCTTATTTCCTTCCCCCTGCTAACTTTCGGCTTAGTCTGTTCTTAGTTTTCTAGTTTCTTGAAGTCTAAGTTAGATTGTTTGTGTGGAATCTTTCTGCTTTTCAAATGTAAGTTTTTACTGCAATAAACTGCCTTCCTAGTATTGCTTTTGCTGCATCCCATTGGCTTTAATATGTTGTGCTTTCATTTGCATTTCTCTGGGGGTATTTTCTAATTTTCCTTTTGATTTCCTCTTTGACCTGTTGATTATTCAAGAGTTTGTTGTTTAATTTGGACATATTTGTGAATTTCCAGTTCCCTTTTGCTATTGATTTTACTTTCATTCCATCATCACACAAATAGATACTTGGTATGATTTCAATCTTCTTAAATTTCATAAAACTTGGTTTGTGACTTAACATGTGCTCTGTTCTGGAGAATATTCTGTGTGTGCTTGAGAGGGATGTGTATTCTATTGCTGTTGGATGCAATATTCTGTAAATGTGTTAGGTATATTTGGTCTCAAGTGTTGTTCAAGTGCTGTGTTTGCTTGCTGCTGCTTGGTATGGATGTTCTATTCATTACTGACAGAAGGGTATTGAAATATCCTATTATTAGTAGCTTGCTATCTATCTCTCCCTTCAGTTCTGTCAATATTTGTTTTGTATAACTAAGTGCTGTTACACTAGATGTGCATATATTTACAATTTTTATATCTTCCTGGTGAACTGACACTTTTATCATGATATAATGGCCTTCTTTGCCTCTTTTGACAAGTTTTAACCTAAAATCTCTTTTTTTCTGATATAACTGCCCTGCTTTCTTTTGGTTACCATTTGCATGGGTCATCTTTCTCAGTTTTTTTTTTTTTTTAAATTTCAGCCTATCTAAAGTGAGTCTCTTGTATATTGTATACTACATATATTGGATCTTCTTGGTTTTTGTTTTGTTTTGTTTTGTTTTTAAATCTATTTGGCCACTGTAGTCTTTTGATTGAGAGGCTTTTATCCATTTAAATTTAGAGTAATACTGATAGTCTATTAGTCTGTTCTCACACTACTAGAAAGAACTACCAGAGACTGGGTAAGAAAAGAGGTTTAGCTGACTCACAGTTCCAGAGGCTTAACAGGAAGCATGACTGAGAGGCCTTGGGAAACTTACAAACATGGCGGGAGGCAAAGGGGAAGCAAGCACATCTTACCATGGTAGAGTAAGAGAGAGAGAACACAAAGGGGGAATTGCCACACACTTTTAAACCATCAGATCGTGTGAGAACTCACTCTCCATCATGAGAACAACAAGATGGAAATCTGCCCCCATGATCCAGTCACCTTCCACAAGGCCCCTCATCCAATTTAACATGAGATTTGGGCAGGGACACAAATCTAAACCATATCAGATAGGAAATCATTTATTTTGCTGTTTATCGTTTTTTTTTTTCAGTGATATGCCTTTATTTATTTCTCATTTTCTTTTGTGTGTCTTTCATAGATTTTTTTTTTGTAGTGACCGTGGGGCTTACAGAAAACAACTCATAGTTATAATAACTTACTTTAAGCTGAGAAAAATTAACTTCAACTGCATACAAAAACTCTGAACTTTTACTTCTCCCCTCACACTTTATGTTATTGAGGTCACAAATTGCAACTTTTTATATTATATGTTTCTTAACATTTTTTATATTTATGTTTATTTTTTATACTTTTGGTTTTAACTTCTACGAAAAACATAAGTGATTACTCATGACCATTACAGTATTATAGTATTGTGTATTTGTCTACAAATTTATCTTTACCAAGAAGTTTTATACTTTCATATATTTTCATGTTGAAGTTTATTTTTTGTTTCAACTTGAAAGATGCTTTTTAGTATTTCTTTCAAGACAGGTCTACAGTTGATAAACTCCCTCAGCTTTTGTTTATTCTAAGAATTCTTTATATAGTCTTCATTTTTGAAGGACCTCTTTAAGTCTTGATCATATACATAGATCTTCTATAGTACTTTTTAGAAATACTTATCTCTTTAGCTACCAACATACGGTAACCACAGACCTGATTTCTTTTTTATGTTTCCAATTTTCTAATGCTGTGCTGTATAGCACTGCTGCATTTCATAATATATTGTCTATTTAAATCAATTTATTATTACAGTGATTCCATCTTAATAGTTAAATAAATACATCACTTATTTTTATATAATATTATATTCAATTAAATAAGCAACTAAGCTCTCTTCTAATTTTTTTCTCCCAGTCTGACCCATTATGGGTCCAATTCTTCATAGAGATTATAACTAGAGGATTTTATAGCATGTTGAAGTAGACTTTAGAAGAGAGTAGCCTGATAAAATACAGAACACGTTTATACCAACAAATTCTTGGTTGATCTGAAATTTAAATTTAACTTGCTACTCTATTTTTATTGCCAAATACGGCGGTTTTACTTTTGGAAAGCTCCTGACATTAGCTCACCCCATGGGAATTAAGAGAAACAAGCACTAAAATCAACTCAGATATTTTTTTATGGTGATGTGAGATACTCCCACTAGAATCAAATCAGAGGATAAAATAAGATTTACAACAAAACAGGCACCATTGAAAACTTGCAATATGCCAGACACAATGCTTAGCTTTTAACATGCATTTCAGTACATAATTCTTCCAACTACTCTGCCTTAAGGATAGGAAAATCAAGGCTTAAAGAGGACGATTTGCCAACAGCTACATCTCTAAGAAGTGAGACAACCAAGATTCTAGGCCAGGTGCAGTGGCTCACACCTGTACTCCCAGCACTTTGGGAGGCTGATGCGGGTGGATCACCTGAGGTCGGGAGTTCGAGAACAGCTTGACCAACATGGAGAAACCCCATCTCTACTAAAAATACAAAATCAGCTGGGCGTCGTGGTGCATACCTGTAATTCCAGCTACTCAGGAGGCTGAGGCAGGAGAATCGTTTGAACCTGGGAGGTGGAGGTTGCGGTGAGCCGAGATTGCGCCATTGCACTCCAACCTGGGCAAGAAGAGCGAAACTCCGTCTCAGAAAAAAAAAAAAAAAAAAAAGAAGTGAGACAGCAAAGATTCTAAACCAAGCTGACACTACTAAGAGCCTATGGGCTTATCAAAGTGCTATGCTGGAGAGATAAAAGTTCAATGTCCCTGAGAGCTTCTTAGGTATAAATACAGATTCATTATACCCCAGGGTCAATCAGAATGTGATGTTTATGATACTTTCCTTCAACCTTCATTTAAAACATTTAATAGACATTTCTTTGTCAGATACTGTTCTCCAAACAAAATATAAAATGGTTAGCAAGATCTACTCAATTCCTACTCTCTCAAGTATAAAACAAAATGCATAATATTCTGGGAGAAAAATATAGCAGCAATTGTGGATCAAATAAATAAATAATAAAAATTCCTTTTAACAGATGAGCACATACCTTAGTGTTGTTTAGAAGACAAGAAATATAAATTTATACATCTCAAAAAGCTGCCATACACGTATTAACAAAATGAGTTTCCTGGTTATGACTTTTCTTGAATATTAAAAATGAAAAATTTTCCACTGTACACATAACAATAGTTTGTTTCCTAATGTGTGGTGGCTTACTTCGTGATCTAAGGTAACTCACCATTTAGAGTTTATGTGCATATGTGAATAAATCAAAACTGATTATTCAAATTATTAGAATAGACCAGGATAACAAATTAGAACATAGTTAGTATGTATTTTAATTGCTCAACAAATATGCCTATTTTATAATATATGAAAAATTAATTTCTAAATAATTTAAATTTTCTCAGGACAGATGTAATTCTTTTAGCACCTACAAGTAGGATGATTATATCATTTATCACCCAAATTAGGAAACTTCTCAGAGTAAAAGGAGGATCTATTATTATTATGTTTGTTCAACAGGCATAACCAGGATTGTCACAGACAAGCCACACTTGTAATCCATTCATCTCCATCTCACAGACTTCAAAGAAGACCTCAGTGTTTGGCTATAATTAGTGCTAGTGAATTTTTCTTGGTGGGGAAACAAGAGATCATGGTACCAAATGTATTATATCAGGATTTGTCATGGCAGGCTTCTGGTGCCATTGGCAGTGATCAGAGCTAAAAATACAGCAAAAGTGGAAATCCTTCCTCACAGTAATAAACATTTATCCTTTCCAGTGAAGACAGAAACAAAATGCATCAACTAGTTAAAAAGATGAGATAAAGAAGGTGAAAAATAGTCATTGTTGCATAGTTACTAATAAAATATGTAAAACTTGTCATCTGTTATTACTGCTTATCTCATTCTTTTTATCTGCACATTTATTTGTGCAGTATTTTAATAACTGAAAATCCCTCAGTTGAAAATGTTCTCATATTGCCAATAGCTGCTTATTACTAGCCTCTCTCTTGGTCTTCTTTGTGTTTAATGTTATCAACTTGATTCAATTTTTATCTTATTTATAAGGAGATTGGTTGCCAGACAGTAATGACTATTACCACTAGAACTCATATCTAGACTGTGTCTTCAGTGACACATTGACACACTGTCTTGTAAATAATGCAGAGAATCATGCTTTATTTATCTATCTTTGTGTTTGCCTTCCTCCTCGTTTAGTAAGAGTTCTACAGAAAATTATTATTTGTTTCTGATACATAAACCTAAAAGCATGCACAAATATTCTAAGAGTTAACTTTAAAATTTAAAGAACAATACCCATAAGCAAGTATGCCCACATGCTAATTTGCAAATACAGCCATTCTTTAAACAAAATAAAATCAAGTTGTATTTGATAACACTTGTTCCATTCTAGCTCAGCAAATTAATAAACCCAAGGGATAGTAAGAATGATTGTTGGGTAAGTAAAGAAGCTTTTATCTGCTTTACAATCTGCTTATTAATAGACTTTTACATGAGTATTGGGAGGAACAGGATAGAGTAAAAGCCATATAAAAGGAAAGAAAGGTTTAAAAGTTAGGCTCACTGTAAACTACATTAGTTGGCATTTAACTGTTCATATTTTATTTTCTAAACAATACTAACTTCAGGATCATTAGCTATTTCTATACCTGTACACATTTAAAAGCTATTGGGTTTTCTGCATTATTCCCCCCCGCCCCCACCACGAGCAATAGTCAGTGTGCAAACTTTCTTTAACATTTCAACGAACACATTGGGAATTTGTGTGGATTCTAGAGGCATATTGATCAGGTTGAACTTTGGAATAAGACACAAGTAGGAAAAGCAAGCCTCATTTAAATGAAATCTCTTTCCAAGACACTGAAAGTGTTTTAGAACTTAGACGAATCAATGAGACTTCACAGTGTTTCTGTAAGGTGAGTAGACATTATTAATAATGTTACAGCAATGGAAAAATAGAGATGGGGATTAAGGGGCAATACAGGCCAGTAAAATAAAGTAGGTAATGAAAATATCATACAAAGATCCAAGAACCATAGCTACAGCTAAACAGCTGTTTACTATATTTAAAATTCTAGCATTACTTATAAGAAATAGCATAATAATTCTGCATGAAAAATTATAGGTGGCTTAATAAATGTTCAGGTTTCCTGCTAAAACAAATGTTTTTCTGCTGTCATATTTAAGAAAAATATTAATCTATTTTAAATCTTCAAATATGAACTAGAAGTGTTGAATGAAAACCACCACATTTTAAAATATCAGGTGTATTTCTGAGATGGGAGGACTGCTTTAGGCCAGGAGTTTGAGGCTAGCCTGAGCAACATAGCAAGACTCCATCTCTACAAATTAAAGAAATTAGCTGGGCATGATGGAACCTGTAGTTTCAGCTACTTGGGAGACTAAGGCAGGAGGATCACTTGAGTCTAGGAGTTCAAGGCTGAAGTGAACTATGATTGCTCCACTGCACTCCAGCCTGGGCAACAGAGCGAGACCCTGTTGCTAAAAAAATAAAAATTAAACATTAAAAATGAATTTAAAAATAGGTATAGTCCTTCTCTGTAACATCACAGGAACTGCAGTTTTGAAACTCACTTCCCTGTGATTAACAACCACATGGACAACAGGGAAAGTGAAAATTAAATGGTTAATCAATCAGTAACTAGAGGGTAAAATACTCCAAAGACAGGAAACTTCCTATGGAAAAAGGAGAATTTAAGAGTTTGGTTCACATAATCCAACTTCTTTTGGTGGATTTTACTAAACCCAATCTGCTTGAGATCTTCTCTGCCATGGGTCTCCTTTCCCATCTCACTGCTGATAACGGCCCTTTGTTTCAGTTTATAAGAGAAAGGAGGTATCTGTTTCCTACCCATCTCACTATGTTGCATCCCCTAAAGTTATAAAAACCTCCAGATCATCAAATAAAGAGAAAATTAAATAATAATGTCTGTAAAGCTTCCGTCAAAGAAATATACAACATTTTTACAACCAATTTTATTAGAGAACTCTTTCCAATAATATTGCTTTTGATTTTTACAGAATTCAAAATATTGTGCACTACTAATAACTATTATTGCAATTCAGTCGTGAAAAAGTTTATATAGAGTCTTATCATAAGAAGTAAATTATTTTAAAATTTCAAAATATATACGTTATTTTTGTTGCAGAGAACTCTATAGATGGTCAATACAACTTTCAATGATAAAAATAAACAGTATATTAATACAAAAGTCTA
This sequence comes from Homo sapiens, assembly GCF_000001405.40. Taxonomy (NCBI): domain Eukaryota; kingdom Metazoa; phylum Chordata; class Mammalia; order Primates; family Hominidae; genus Homo; species Homo sapiens. The sequence goes on from NC_000004.12 coordinate 156,566,397, forward strand.
GGGAAGTAGAATGCAAATTATGACTTCGAGTGGACAAAGGGCCAAGTAAATTTTCCAGCTGCTAAGGAAGAGATTTCATGTATTTTTAATGTGGATGTTGGTGAATACCAAATTATTGTGATTTTTAGATTCATTCTATGCATTTATTTTTAAAAGCCTGTTAAATGTTGTATTCTTAAAATAGAGTCTGATTTCAAGTATATTATAAATATTAAGATTTTACAGCTTTATATTAAAATCTCAATATTTATAATACACTTGAAATCATATGCTCTGTATTTTTAAAATCTAGTAATAAATTTTAGAGGTCAACTTTAAAGTGTGCAAAGGAAGACATGTATTTTCAAAATTGTATTAGACGACTTCCAAACAAAAACAAAGTTTGAAGACCACTACCAGAGCCAACATCTAGTGTAATAGAAGCATATAAACTATTCAGATAATATAAATCCTCAGAGTAGATTCAGGGACTGAACAGTGAGTTTTCCTGCATCAATTAATACAGCTAGTTAATTGACAGCTTTTCCAGGTGTTCTTTGTTTTACAAGCAAAGGCTGAAAAAATACAGGAAGCACATACGAAAGTCCAAGCCTCACAATTTAGAGACAAGCCCTGAACTTTCATCTCTAGTTCTTACATGTGAAATTTACCAAATACTGTAATCAATGTGTTTTACATGTGAGTAAATTATCTCCTAAGATATTCAATTTATACATTGAAGATCAATTTATTCAGCTATCCAATATTTTAACCATTAATTTTAAGCATGAAAAATGCATAGGGAGTATATGCTTTGACAATACAAAAAGCAGTAATACAAAAAAAATTGCTTACTCAAAAGATTTCTCAGGAATCAAAGTAAAATAAACTCTAAAAATTCTTCAAATTTTCAAAATTGGAGAGGTAGCTTTGCTTTATATATTTAAAGGCCTACCAAAATCGTTATTTGAAAATATGATTTTTTTGGGCCAGGCACGGTGGCCCACGCCTGTAATCTCAGCACTTTGGGAGGCCGAGGTGGGCGGATCACCTGAGGTTGGGACTTTGAGACCAGCCTGTTTATTTAAATTATTCAGATGTATACTTTTTACTTCTAATTTTTAACTGAGACAAATTGAGACTCTTTGATACTTTGTATTAAAATAATAGTATAAACTTAATGTTAAATTTCTTACAAATGTGCATTTTATTTAATGTTTGGAATATGTTTATTTTCTATTTAAATATATGTACATTTAGTTTCACTGTAATATTCGATGTCATTCATTCTAAGCCGTTTTTAAAATAATCATTCTAGTATTTTCTAATTGTGTGAAATTAATATCAAAATTGCTCTCTGGTTTATTTTGCATCAGCGTTGCCATCATTTGGCTCGACTTCCCAGGCACTTCCTCATCTGCTACCTTTTCTACCTGAGGCTCTTTCTCCCTCATTTCCAACTTGCACCATTTCTTAATCATCTCAGTTATCGTTCTTGTTTCTGGAGTTCCTTGCTTATTGCCTTCTCCTTTATCTTCTAAAACCTTATCTACCTCTTCTAGTTCTGATGGATTGCCCTCTTCTCTGATGTTCAAAATTAAGTTTAAATTCTACTCTTCAGCACGTGGAAAGCAAGACCCCTGAGGGCGCAGGTTTTAGTCAACTTTCATTCAGTGCCGCTTCTACAGAGTTGAACACTTTCCGGTACATTAAATGCTCTCGGTAAGTATTTCTTGAAGAAATAAATGGAACTGACAATAAGTTCTCCTGCTAATGTGATAAGTATTTCAAGCTTCTTTCGTTTACTTCTCCAAATATGTCACAAATTCCTCTGAATGCATGCCAACAGTTAACAAGTTTGGATCTGCAAGCCTGGCTCTTTTTCCTCTAAGCTCTAGTCCTGCAAATTGAGCAAACTACCTTCAATGAATGGAATACTCTGAGTCAAGGCACCCTGATGACAAGTTAAGCTTCACATAAGTATGAATAAATTGAGAGAGTAGCACTCTACTTATGCTTAATATCCTCTAAAGCAATGTTGTAAATATTAGTGATATGTACATTAAAATATTAATACAAATATGATCTGGAGAATATATTTTAAGAAATTTATTTGCCTACATAAACTTTGTAATAAGTCTCAAAAGCTTTTACACAATATGTAACTTAAACTAGATGTTAACAAAGTATTATACTTTTGCACCTATAACTAGGTTCCAAGCCCTATTTACATGAATGCTTCTTAGAAACAGTAACCCTTTGACTTTCAGCTCTGATTTTAAGCCCTTCTATTCTGTGCTGTATCCTGTAGCTGCAGAGAGGCCAAGCATACATTACCAGCCGGCTTTTGTCTTCTCTTCTCTTCAGTCATCAGAAGCGTTTAATTACCAGCTTTCTCTAATTATTCCACTTCATTGTACTTGCCCTGCTAATTCCTTGCACCTTGAATCTTCACATCTTCACACTGGAGGGTTTTTCTTCTCAAATTATGATTTTATTTTCTCAAAATACAAAATAAGTGCATGCTCTGTTATTTGTTTTAATTTGACCTCCTTTTAGGAAAAAGTGGAAAAAGATGAAAAAACAGCAATTTCAAAAGTGATTTTCCTACATGTAGAAAATTATCAAGTGGATTTCCTTTAAATCCTAAAAAAATCTTTTTAATAGACAAATTTTATTCCTCTACATGCAACATCATATTCCAACACTTTCTTTCTTGTCTCTGAAGCTTAGACCTATAAAAAATTTTACTTTGAAAATAATTACATAAAATATTAAAGATTACTTACAGGCTAACCTAAGTACCTCAACAACTTTTATTTTTTATCTTGTTTTTTCCTCCCAGCTTTGTTAAAGAAGCCAAAACAAAACAAAACAAACAAACAAACAAACAAACAAAACTAATGTGTTTGGAACCAGGACTTCATTTGCTACTCTGCTGTATCACAATTTTACTATTACATTGTGTCCTTACTTTGCACTATTGGACAATATGCCATCAAAAATAACTGATTTATTGATTGAATATCTAAGAAGCATAAAGATGATATAAATTTTTATATAGAATGACCTATCATAATATCCTTTTTCCATTTGGAGTTACAAAACCAAGTATATGATTTCTTTTGAGGATTTGAAGTACTTTTATCCCATATGCATAATATATAAAAGTTAATTTTGCAAATTTTTGCTTCATAATAATTAGTCATTATGTATCTAAATGATAGCTAGAAATATGTAGAACTTTTAGTGATGATGATTATTTTTTACTTCTCTCTCCCTTCTTCTCTCTCTCTCTCTAACTCTCTGTCTCTGTCATCAAAGCCAAAGTATATCAGTTTTGACATGGCAGCTGTCCGGAGGGATTTGCTCCCAATCATTTTGATCTAACGTTCTTTGTCTATGTGATGACAAAGCAATAGCATGTTTTTCATCAAAGGCAGGAAATGCATTATTCTTTCTTTGATCTCTAAAAAGGATTTTGGGGTAGAAAGGTGAGAAGACAGACCTTAAAACATTTCTTAATGCTCTTATCTAAAACTACACCACTTTAATGAGAAAAGTTAAATGTTTCTGAAAGCACAATTCCAAAACGAATAGGTCCTGATTTTTAAATTAATTTTTAAATCTTTAAATTAAAAAAAAACACAATTTCTCCCCTTTTAGATGGGTATGTATCTCTACACCCCAAACTGGGGATCCTTTACTCACTTTGACATCTGATACTGTATTTTCAGCTTGAAAATAAATGAGATCCTTGAAACTCACTACTATCTCTTAAAAGGTGATACCTTATGTGTCCTTTTCTTCTGTCTTTCCTCTCACTTAGTTTGAAGCCCTGGTTGAACTAGGGATTGTCTGTTCCATTGCCTTCTTGTCTGTTCCATGTCACCTTCAGTTTTCACCATTGCACTCATTTCTTCAGTTAGCTGACTTGAGTTTAGACCACATTTTGCCTTGTACCCAATTAATTTCTTTTTCTTTTTCTTTTTCTTGCCGTGTGTATATGTGGGTGAATGTGTGAGCTTGTGTCTGTGGGTATATCCCTTACCTGGTGAATTCTCACTCTACTTCTCAACTCAGTTTTAAACACTTAAGGTTAGGTGCAACTTTTACTCTATATGTCAAGGAGAAGTTTTGAAAACCACAAAAAAGTTTTAATTCTATAATTCGTTTAATATTTATGTTGTGCAATACACTACAGAAGCCATTATGAAATGGATCATGTATTTCTGGGCAAAACAGTTCCTTCAGGAAAACATGACTTACAAGATGAAACTATAATGCCAGGCAATGGATAGAAAGCATCATATGTGTTCTATAAAGTACCAAGGGGGGTTAGATGAGGAGTAAATATTTTTTTAAATCTTTAAGATAACAAGTAGATCAACAGGTAAGAGAAATATGATGAACAACCTGAAGAGAAGTGAGAGTTTTAAAAATAGGGAGTATTTTTAAATAGCTAAATATATTGCATCTATATGTATAGTATAGCTAATGAGTTAAGTTGAGCAGGTCATGATGTTCCTTGATTGCCAAGCAAAGACTTATAAAGTTGATTAGGCTAGCAAAAGGGAGCTTTATGGTGATGAAAATTGTCACTTATTCAGTTTAGCACTTTGAGGCTTTTGATTTCAGAGTATAAGCGTATGAAGAGCAAAAATATTAGAGGCTAAGAAACCAGATACAAGTGTTACTGGCAGTGAATCCATATGGATCTGCAGCAACCTCAATTCTTGTATCCTCAGAAGAATTCAACCAAGGAGAATAAGGCAGAGAGAGAGAGAGAGAGAGAGAGACCAAGGCAAGTTTTAGAGGAGGAGTGAAAGTTTATTAAAAAGTTTTAGATAGAGCAGGAATGAAATGAAGTAAGTACATTTGGAAGAAAGCCAAGCCAGCGACTTGAGAGATCAAGTGCACTTTTTGACTTTGACTTGGGGTTGTATACGTCAGCATGCTTCCGGGGGGTTGAGTCCCTTTGCCCTGATTCTTCCCTTGGGATCAGTTCTCTGAATGTGCAGTGGCCTGCCAGCACTTGGGAAGGGCTGCATGCACAGCGTTTTCTGAGTCTGTACACATGCTTACTTGAGGCGTTTTTCTTTGACCAATAGAATGCCCCTAGAAGGTCATATACCATTTGAACTCTGCCATTTTTGCCTCTTAGTGCACATGCATGCGCCCACTTTCCCAGCTCCTGAGATCTTATTGGGAAGCTGCTGACCACCAGTTTCAGTTACATGTTGCTGTTTATTGAGAGACCGCCTTTCCCTGGCTCTGGCTGCAAACAGTTATTATTTCAGAGAGACAGTTAACAACCACCTGAGCATCACCTGATGGCTGTCTGCCACTCGTGTCCTGTTGTGTGTGTTGGGGGGTGGTGGGGAGCCCTGTCTTGCTCTGTTCATGTCTGACTGGCTACCTACAGTGAAAAAAGAATGTCATGATAATCTATGCAGGATATGACAACAGCCTGATCCATGGTAGAAAGAAGATGTAAAAAAGGCCTGAGAAATATTTCAAAGTAAATATCAAAAGAACAACAGGTGGAAAATAAGAAAAATTATGCCTTTGGAATTCTGAGTCTGAAAACTAGGATAATGGTGGACCCATGAATAGAATTTAAGAAAAGAACAAGTAAGCTATGGAAGATAGTGTCATTCTTCTCAATTTTTTTTCCTTCAGGTGTTGGAATTTTTATTTTTATTTTATTTTTTTCTTTTTAGACAGAATTTCGCTGTTGTTGCCAGGCTGGAGTGCAATGGCACAATCTCGACTCACTGCAAGCTCCGCCTCCCTGGTTCAAGTGATTCTCCTGCCTCAGCCTCCTGATTAGCTGGGATTATAGGCATGCACACCACGCTCGACTAATTTTGTATTTTTAGTAGAGAAGGGGTTTCTCCATATTGGTCAGGCTGGTCTTGAACTCCCAACCTCAGGTGATCTGCCTGCCTCAGCCTCCCCAAGTGCTGAGATTACAGGCATGAGCCACCGTGCCTGGCCAGGTGTTAGAATTTATACTAATTTTTTTCAGAACCTCCTTCTGAGGGTAGAGACACTTCCAAGCCAGGTGAAAGTGGGGTTTGACTTTGTGACTTGCTTTGGCAATAGATTGTGGGTGGAAAATACCAAGAGAAAGTTCTCAGATAAGGCCTTCACAGGCGTCATGTGCTGCTCATGCATGCTGCAGTGCTCCTGTGATCACCATGAGAAGAGCGTGCCCTTTTAGCATGGTCTGATACCCTTTTACAATGGTCTCTAAATTCAGGCGTATGAAGCAGAGTGGAGGAAATCTAAATCTTCCAAACTGAAATGTAAATGTAAGAGAGCTATCCAAGCTCATCTGCAGACCAATAAGCAAGAAAAAGAAGTGCTTCTTTTAGTAAGTCCTTGTTTTAAGGTAATTAGTCATACTGCATTATTGAAGAAATTGATAAATGAGTTCATACTGAATTTGAAGGTTTCAGATGGAAATATATTGAAAATAATTAAAAGGTTAAAAGAGAGTTATGTCCTTGAGCTTACAGATTTCAGAGTCATGCTCATAAAATTTATGGTTAAAGAGGAGACAGTAAAAATCAATAAAATAAAAGGCTGACAATTGAATCATTACTATTAATAGGACTAAGAAAATGTAGTCAGTAAAGAAGAAAAAGAGAAAAAATACTTTTGCAGCATTCCCCAGTGGCAAACAGAAGTTCTATTGAGATATGACCTTAGCTTCAAATTCTAGGTCTGAAATATTTGACTTACAACCTCAAATAAGTTACTAAATGTCTATTAGCATGTTTTTTGTTTCATCAGTAAAATAGGAATAATATTTATTCTATATGGTTGTTCTAGAATTTTATAATATATATAAACTCTAGTGTAGTGACTGGCATGATAATTTTTACTTAAACTTCATTTTTGTCCAATAGATCTTTCTGTGATTAAACTGTTTTATATCTGTACTATATAATATGGCAGCAGCTAACAATATGTGGGTATTAAACAATTAAAATGTAACTACATTGCAAGACTTTAAATACATGTAGAATTTTATATATGCAATGATAGCACAAAAAGGCAGTTTTAAAATTTAAGTGTTCTAAAGTCATTAAATTTTTCAGTATGTGGTAAAAGTACTAATATATATTGAGCTTTGATAAATCAAAATGCATTTTGATTTTTAGGTAATAACTACCAAGGGATAAGTAAAAGGAGGTTTGACTTACAAATTAATGGAGGCAATGAAACTTAAAAGTCACTATTATGGAAGGGTGAGGCCAGAGGATCACTTGAGCCCAAGAGTTTGGGGTTACTTTGAGCCATGATTGCACCGTTTTACTCCAGCCTAGATGACAGAGTGAGACCCTGCCTCAAAAAATAATAAATAAACAGTAACATTTTAAAAAATTCATTAATGAACTAAAGATAAGAAAAAAAACAAACAACAAAAAACCAGCAGGGAAAAAAAAAGCAAAGAATAAATACATCAGTATGTAAATTAAATGTAAATGAATTCATTATACCAATTAAAAGACAAAGATTATCTGACCAACTGGAGACTTCTCAAAGAACTTAAAATAGAACTACCATTTGACCCAGCAATCGTATCACTAGATACATATCCAAAGGAAAATAAATCATTCTACAAAAAAGACACATGCAGTCAGATGTTCTTCAGAGCACTACTCACAATAACAGACATGGAATTAACCTCGGTGCTCATCAAGGGTGGATTGAATCAAGAAAAGTAAAGTGGCACATACCCAACATGGAATATGATGCAGTCATAAGAAACAACGAAATCCTGTCTTTTGCAGCAACAAGAAAGCAGCAGAAACAATCATCCTAAGTGAATTAACACAGGAACAGAAAACCAAATACTGCATGTTCTCACTTATAAATGGGACCTAAACACTGGGTAAACACGGACATAAATATGGTAAAAATGGTCACTGGGAACTACTAGAGGGAGGGGGGCAAGAGCTGAAAAACTGCCTATTAAGTACTATGCTCACTACATGGGTGATGGAATCATTTGTACCCCAAACCTCAGTGTCATGCAGTAAATTCATGTAATAAATTTGTACATGTATCTCCTGAATCTAAAATAAAAATTGAAATTATGTATATTTTTAAAATACTTAAATGAGCAAAAACAGTCTTGAAAACAAAAACATTTGGAGATTTCCCGACCTGATTTCAAGCCTTCCTACAGTTTCATAAAAATTAAGACAGTGTAATACCAATGTAAATATATTGATCACAGAAGCAAGTAAAGTACAGAAATAATTGAGTCTCAACGACGGCATCAAAGTAATCCAATGGGGTAAAAAAAATTTTTTAACAAATAGTGCTAAAAAAGTTTGATACTTAGTCTTTTATTTAAAAAAAAGATATTTGGCTCCTTATTCCATGCACAAAATATTAATTTGAGACAAATGATATGCCAAAAGATAATCACTAAAGCCATAAATGCTCTAGAAGAAAACTTAGGACACTATCTTTCTTACTTTAAATTGTCACAGATTTTTTTAGGCAGAATACACAGAAATACTAACAACAAAATATTGATAATTTAGACTTCATTAAAATATAAACGTCTGTGTTTTAAAAAAATCACTAGAAAGTTAATGGCAAGATAGTCTGTTGAAAATATTCACAATATACTAGATTTGACAAAAGACTCATGCCCAGAATATAAAAATAACCTATTTAACTGTAAAGACAATATAATAAAAATAGTCAAAATTCAAAAACAGAAGATTAAAACTGGAAAAAAAGCATATTTAAATATGTTGAACATCATTGATCAGTGGGTAAATGCAAATCAGTACCACCATGAGATATCTCTTCATTTCCTCTAGAAATAAAATTTAAAAGAATGACAGCACAAAATTGTTGGTAAGGATATGAAGGAGCTAGAACTCTCATACATTGCTTATTGTAGATCTATTTGACCCAACAATTCTCACCCAAAGAACTGAAAACCCATGCCCACAATATTCTTATACACATGTTCATAGCATCTTTATTCATGATAGTCCCAAATTGAAACAACCCAAATGTCTACCACCAGGAATATAAACATCACTAATATGATATTAAACAAAAATAGAAAAACATGAAGATAAATTTTGTGTAGCAACAAATAATTTGTTGAGAGTAACAGCTGGAAAAGGAAAAGAGAGGAAGCAGGATTGAGCAAAGGGAGTCCTCAGCGGATGATACAAATCTGACTAAGCTTTGACCAACCCCGTGGGGCGCTCTAGAGCAAAGACTGGCAATTAGTGCAACCCAGCTTTGAGTAGAAATCACTTGGCCCTTGTACCACAAGCTTCTTCAGTAATTGACTGAAGGATAGTCCAAGAAAACTATGTCCTTAAGCTACTGCCACCTGACTTAGTCATTGTCTAGGGATTGCCAAATATAGTGTGGCCTAGACTGAAAAGCCGAGACAGGCGATGCAGAAGCTCACAACTAGAGGCTGGCAGCTAACCACATTCCTTGCAGCTGGCATGGAGCTCTTTCTGGAAGTGGTATTTAAGCAACACATCTCCATGATTTTCACCCTGTAAGGCTTAAATTACGTAAATTTCAAAACTACCCTATGGTATGAGTTGTCATGATGGTGGTTATCTTCAGGGAACAGAAAGACATTAGTGGTAGAAAGGGTCATGAGAGTGGTTTCTGTGGTGCCAGTAATCTTCTATTTCTTAACCAAAGTGTAAGTTATGTAGGTGTGTTTATTTTATAATATTTCATCAGGCTATATACTTATGGTTTGTGTACCTTTTGTTTGTATGTTTATTTAATTAAAAGAAGAATAATTTCAGTAATTCCACTAAGGATATAAACCAGATGATGTTTTGAAGAATAAGTGAATAGTGAAAAAAATTAGAAGATTTTATAAAAATTTGGATTTTACATGTATATGTGTGTACATATATACACACACACTATTTTTAAAAAAGCATGACAGAAAACAAATTTTGCTGTACTGTAATGAAAGACAAGATGCTCTTGAAAATATAAGTGATTATAATATCTAGATACTTATTAAAGTGTCAGAAATAAATCTAATGAGGTAAGTTTATAATCTACTAAAATTTGTAATTTAATGAACTTCAAAATACAGAAATAGTCTATAAAATCTAAACTTTTCATTCTTATACTATATTCATCTTTTCTTAACAAATTTTATTTTTCTTACTCAAATTATTTTTATTATTATTATACTTTAAGTTCTAGGGTACATGTGCACAACATGCAGGTTTGTTACATATGTATCCATGTGCCATGTTGGTGTGCTGCACCCATTAACTTGTCATTTACATTAGGTATATCTCCTAATGCTATCCCTCCCACCCCCGCCAAAGCCAATATAAATGAGATCTTACTAAGTGTGGCTACAGAGTAAATTTGTTGACCTGAATTAAATCCATCCAAAATTGAATGACAACAGAAAAATTTCATCTATATAATTTATCCTGTATTTAGGAGCCATAATATGCAAACACTTATTTGTTTATTATTTCTAACACACATGTAATATACAGACAAATATATTTTTTATAAAGCCACCATATGTTAAACACTACTATATACTAGCGGGAAGAGATGACTAAAACACAGTTCTTATCATCAAGGAACTAAAATTTCAACAGAGAAAAATACACTCATATGATTAATTGTAATATAATGTGAGTGCTATACTAGTAATAAAAAAGAAGATGCAGGAACACAGAGAACGCAGGGATCACATTCTTTCTTTAATGGCAGAGGAAAGGCTCTGCTGCTAGATGCTCCAGAGAAGTGTTGTGTAAAGTATTAAGAGTTCACCAAGCAGAGGCAGGGAAAGAGGCAAGGAAAGGCAGTCAAGAAGAAAACAAAATTGCAGACTGATGAAATCTTGTGATATTCTGAGGATGGTTGAAGATTGTAAGGCAAGATAATTCAGCCCTGGTAGTAGAGGGAGAGTAAAGTAAAGGACTGGTAGACATAAGCTGGAAAGTGCAGATTGGGAACATAATTAGAAGCATTAAGATAGATGAGAGAACACTAGATCAGGGATATAAAATAATCCTGAGAGGACAGAGGATGGGACCCTGGAGAACAGCAGCCTATAAAGACAGAGAAGCCAGGGACAGGGACAGGGAGAGAAAAACAAATGAAGAAGGAGAACAAGTGATTAACCCAGAGTATTAACGCAAAAATTAAGGGAAGCAGACACTTCAACAAGAAGGTAACTAGAGGGTCAAATGTCATAAGTCAATCATGCAATGGGCTATGGGAAGTAGACCCTGGATTTGGCAGAAAAGAGGTGGTGCTAATAGACTGGGATGGGTAAGTCAGAATCAGTGGGTCTAGAAGTGAAGAGAGGTGAGAAAGTGGAGCCTCAAGTCTGTACTATTAGCTCTAGAACTGTTGTACTATTCTTTCTAAGAAAGAGAAAAAATGTATGAAGCGTTAGTTTGAAGGCAAAGAGAAGAGAAATACCTGTTTTTAAGACATAGAAAAGCAAAAGTATAGCTGTCTGAGTGGAGTATGCCTATAAAGAAGGAATAATTAATAATATAAGAAAGGATATAAGAGAGCTATATCCTGGCAAGAAATAGTCTTCTTATTTTTTTTTCTTCTGGAATAGGATGCATGTAAAGAAGAATGAGCAAATAGATAGATAGATTTAGAAGGAGAGGGATTGACTTAACAAATAAACTTGGCTAAGGACTGTCTTGAGCCAAAGCAGAAAATACTACGCTAACATTTTGTAGGAACGGGTCTGCATCTAGAGTCTCAGGAACAACACATCCTGTAAACAAGTCATTGCCAGAATATGACTGATTACCAGACCCAGATAACTTGTCTACAAATATCCTAGACTGACTTTGTTTTTCTTATACCGTGTCCCACATTTACTTTTTTCCTTTTTTCTGTCACTTCCTCCTTCTTATCCTCTAGACAAATAGCCCACTTTTGTTTTTCTAGAGCTGCCTCCTGGCCAGACGCTGCCCCAGCAGCACAGGGGCTCTTTCTTGAAGGGAGCTTTCTGGAAGGGGAGATTCCTCCCTCCCCAAACTCCCCGCTTCTTTACTACCCCTTCCTCCTTCCTGGACCATTTGCACAAGATCTGACAACTCATGTTGAGTCAGACTTAATAATGTTAATGGTAATAATAAAAACAATAAAAAGAGAATAATCACAACAGCCATGTTTGAAACTGTGACACTGAGGCACAGAGAGTGCAAATAAGTTAACTTGCAGAGTCTCACAAACAGTAAGTGGTGATGAAAGTCACCAAGCCCAGTGCTTCTTATTCTAACAACAACAAAAAATAAGTCATACTTTTACTGGGAACTCTTTAATCCCAGCAAGAATGGGTTGAGAGGCCAACTTGAGAAAAGTGTTCTAATGTTTTCAGATACCTTTCTCTGAGTAAAATTGAGCTAAGGGCTTTGGAGATTTCACCCTGGATTTTCAAAGGACCTCCAGTGGACTTGTGTTTTGAGAATCTGCAACTAAATCATTTATGACTAATTCCCAATCAAACTGTTCTCCAAAGAAAATCAAGTGAAGGTAAGCTGCTCTCAACACTTTCAAATATGACTAAGCCCTTTATACCTTCTTCAGAAATCTACCTCCTTGTACACAGAGTTTGCTATCTTAACTCTTTAAATATGGAGCAGTGGGCAAGTGGGCAAATATAAGTGCAAATGAATTTTATTACTAAAGATTTTCTCTGTAAAGTTCAACTGTGCCAGGGAAAGGCAACGTTTTTACTTTAATTTTTATTTTATTGTATTTTTAAATGTTGGGCATATGCTATCACTGAGATAATTTAGAAATCTCAAACTAAAGGAGAACTGACAAAAATAGAATCTCCTCTATCAGGAAAAAATATGTAAATATATCTGAATAATTAGTTTTTAAATTGTAATATACACAGTTGTAGCTGCACTGGACATGCTCTATCAAACAAGTCCTGCTAATATTTCATTTTTATCAATGACTCATCTATGGATGATTAGTAAGATAATGCTGCCTTACACAAAATTTTGCACCACAACTTGCAAATATAATAACAACAACAATAATAATATCTAACACTTCAGACTCTACCTCCTCTTGTATGTTACTTGGATATTAAAAGGCTACATAAGAAGACAAATCTTTCTCAAGTTTTCTAGAGTTTCAAGAAGAAGGATTTAAAGACAAAATAACTTTAGGCAAGATAACTAGCTGATAACTTAATCAGATAACTCCTGTTCTGAAAGGCATATAATAAGTGGGTAAGTCTCCAATATTCTGTGTGTCCACATTGGCTCGTACTCCAAGTTCTGCCTAGATCAATGGCCTTTAAACTCTACTTGTGTCAGTTTCACCTGGGAAGTTTGTTTGAAATTCAGCTTCTTTTACAATGTTCTAAAAATTTCTATGTCAATAAAATTAAAGTTGCACCCAGAAATCTGCATTTAAATCACATCTGGTGATTCTGTTACAGTTGGTTCAGAAAGAACACTTTGAAAAGCCTGTGTTTTGACGTCTACTCAGAAGTATTGGAATCAATGAAGAGTGGGACACTGAATCTGGATCCTCTCTAAGGAATCGTTTTCCAGAATACATCAAATGTTACCTGCTTTGTAAACCTCTCCAATTCTCTCAATTCCCTCTGTCATCATTTAAGCACTGACCATCAGACCTTCCTGTACCTAGACAGCAGCTTTCTATTGGATTCTCTGCCTCAGGCACTGCTCTCCTCCATTCAAACCTTCACAATCATTATCTCTAACGTGAAGACCATGCAGTCTCAGGAACCCAAGATGATTCATGACACTTCCAAAAAAAACAGAATTTTTTATGTATAATTATTCTTATCTGAAAAAAAAGAAATAAAGCCTTACTACTATTTAACATCTGGAATTAATATAGGTAATTGTAATCAATCCCCAAGTCACTTATTTGAATTTTACATAAGTTACTAAAGATATCCTGAGGCAAGACTGGGAATTCAACAACAGGCAGTTAACAACGCCAGCCACACTTGTCCATTTCATTTAGCATGCTGCATTTTACCACAATTGACCTATGCCTGGTTAAATGGACTTGCAATTTATGTCACTAAATTTTAGTCTTCAAAAAATTGAAAATTAGATTTTAAAATATCCCTACAATAAAAGTTTGAATTGACATCATTACTATACTATAAGTGAACAGTAGGAAAATATTAGAACCAAAAATTCTAAATCTGGCTTTTTCTTTGCTGTGTTACCAGATAATCACAACAATGGTCTAATCACATTTGACAAGAAATCATCAAAAATTTTGAAATTATGTTATTATTATTAACAATGAACCTTAGCGTAAATGCATGCAGTGTCTTGAGATATTGGCCAACAAAATGCAGCTATATAGATTATAAATAAATAAATATATTAAAACTAATTGGAGTTAGGTACTTAAAATTTCTTCCTGACAAAAATGAATTATCGACATGTTTCATCATTCATTCCACTGTTTGGTCTACGCTGCAATGAGAGTGACCTTGTAAAACACAAACGGATCATTTCGTGTTAAACTCTTCAGTGGTTTTCTGATATCTTTAAGACAGTTTTACAAGTTTTTCTATTCCAGCACCTCATCTTGGGTTGCCCTCCAGACATACTGGACTTCAGCTCTGTGAGACTTCCTGGGCTCTCTCTACTCTGGGTTTCCACACACTGTCTCTTCTCTGCCTGTAACATTCTTTCAGTAACTCCTTTCCCTCTTTGCCTGGCTGCTTTCCTCTCAATGGATCCCTTCAGATTATTACATTTAAAAATTACTTTGGTGGACCTTTCCAACACATTTAGACCAAGTTCGCCACCACCACCTCCCCGCATCTGTCTTTTTAGAATATTCTGTGCTTTCAGTCTTAAAAAAAAATCACACTTTACTATAATTTACTAGTTCAATGTTTTATGTTCCCCAGTAGTCAGTATAAACTGAGGTCATGAGCTAGGACTCTTGCTCATTCCTGTATTGCCGCCACTGTCTAGCATACTGCCTAATTTTTTTGTTTAATTTTTAAAAGAAGAAGACAGTTTTAGAATGGCATTTAGGAAAATACAGGCAAAAGCAAATATCATATGTCTTCAATTATCTCCCTAAAAACTTAGGTCATGAGGAAGTGGAACAGAAGTGCCTATGGTTTAAATGGGGCCAATAATCTGGGGTACTCAGTAGAGTAACTCATAAGAGTAAGTCAGTAGTTCACTTATGGCTGGCAGAAAGTATATAAAGGTCTAATGCTTTGGGGAAACTTTGAGAATTTTAGGTTGTGCACAATTATTTTTTTCTTTAAATGGCTCTTATAAAACAAATTGCAAGACAAACACAATCACACTGAATTCCCAATAGAAAATGAAAGTGCTTCGGCAAAGGTAATAGGTTGTTGTCATTTTGCCAATAAATATATTGACATTCTGACTTTCATTCGACCTTTCAAACATGCTATATAAAAAGCTACATGTTTGAGGATGAGCCAAATGCTTTTAAAAGAAGGAAATAGTGCCAACAATAAAGTCTCTGTGACTGAGCACTTGCAGAAGGAATTAAAGGGAGACAAGCAAGGACATTCCCTTAAGCAAGGCACCTAAAGAAGTTTCTCTGTTTCCACAACCAACCATGATGCTTAAAAAATTCAACTAAAATGTTTTAATCCTTGTAGTAAGGTTTGTACTGGTGTATTATCATTAAGAAATAAGAAATACTGAAAAAAAGAAAACAGATATTGTTGACTATTACCTTTCCTTCATAGTAAAATAATCTACTCAACAGAACGGGTGTTAGTAAAGAGAAAACACAAATTGTATAGTGAAGAAGCTTTAAAAAAATTAGGCTACCTTGTCCAGACATTTTCTTTCACTTACACCTATTAATCACTGTCTACAGGTACTGATGACTTTTTTAAAAATCATTTTTAATTTATTTGTTATTTATATACAATAGTTGTACACATTTTGGGGGTACATGTAATATTTTGATACCTGTATATAAGTATAATGATTAATTCAGAGTAATTGGGATATCTGTAATTAAATATGTTACATTCATCATCTGGGTATTTCTTATTGACAGTGTTTGCATTTGACATTCATTTTGTGTGAATTATTACCTAGGCATGTGATGTAGTAAAATTCTACTTATATAGATATTTTAATGTAACAGCTATAATGGCAGATATATTAAAAAAATGATTTATATAGTAATCATGTAAATGTTCAATCATGAATATAACGAGTCATGATTTCTTTGCAATTTTGTTTTATAATATGCCTTTATTAACTTTGATGTATTTGAGGCATAGATCCTAAAAGGTTGCTGTGACAAATTAAGTTTATGCTAAAGATTTAGTACTTAGTCTTTGTTTTTTCTCTTTTCTTCTTTTTTTTAACAAAATTGCTGCTTGGAATAATGTGTTTTATTTTGAGAATGACGCTGTTTAATTTTGTACCCTAAGAAATGTTTGAGTAAATTAACTGTTCTGTTCATGAATTATCTGTGGCCTCTACCATCACTTCTCATAAAAGAATGTCAAATAGAAATCAAGCTATGTAACCCCACTGGTGATCACTGTGATACAAGAGGTGGCAGTACTAAAACAAAAAATACTTGTATATTTCTCATTCTGTCATTTTATTCTTCAACTTTTCATCATGAACACTGAAAACCTCAGTGAGAGATTTATATTAGTCGAGCCTTAATCCCAAATAGCTATATAGTACTTTAGATTTACAAGGCATTTTGTCTCAGCATCTTTAAACACTTTAAATCTTACTGATATAATTTAAATATCTTTAGTTGACACTGGTAAGACAATTAAGAGATGTAGAATAAGTATAACTATGTGTCATATCTAAGAGATAGCATTCATAAAAACAGAGAAGAACTTGCATGAGTGAAGACATGCAGAAAGGAGCTGATGTTTTGATTTTCACTTTGAAAAGGAGAAAGTGCACTAAAGGATATTCTTACTGCTAATGGTCAATTCTTTCTACAACTGTGATTTATTTTACTGGAAGCTGGAACAGGTGTGGTCTATCTTTGCCAAAGTCTTCCAGAAATTCATACCTGCCCCAGGTTTCAGGTTTCAGATGTGTTTGGTGAGATTGTTGAATAGCATGCAACCCAAGAACTTCTATCTTATTACACAGACAGAATACCGACTTACTGTGAAAACTTTTATCTGCAAATCCAGTTTTGCACTTCGAATATGGAAAAACTGAACTTACATAATTTGAAGGATGTTGGTAAGTTTGTCTTAAGAAAAATGTCTTCTTTGAAAAAGTTTTAACAAAAAGGAAGTTGAAGTTTATGCATATACATAAACTGAATTCACTTTCTTTAATTTCTCAAAATAAATGTCAGTGCTGGCCAAAAAACAAACACGGTACTTTTCATAACTTGCAATAGTTATTATAAAAGTTAACGGTAGGAAAATCAGGAGGTCCAAAGGAAAGTGTTATTTTGCTGCTTGGACTACAACATTTCTGCCATAAACTCTATGAAAAATAAATGTAAGTAGGGCAAAGGGAAAAAATGAAGAGTTTCCATACTCCAATCAAATATAGGGCTTTCACCTTAGGTCAAATACCATTTACTGAAAATAGCTGACTTTATAAAAGAAGGCTTATAATTGCCTTATTTCCCTTGAAAAATATACAGCATTTTGCCAAGCAGGTACATTTGTGTTGCCATTAGTGTGGCCAGTTCATTTGGTGGTGCTGTTGAATGTCATGTGCACCACTTAGGAGTGATCACGTTTTTAAGATGGCAGAAAAGTAATTGCAACAGATCGGTTTGCTGACCCTGACTGCTATAAATGGCTACATAAAATGAGAATAGGTAGATCAACACAGCTCAAGTTCTGAAGTGAAATTTTATCTCATTTCTGGCACCGCAAATACTAACCTGATTCTTATCTGTCTAAGAAAAAACATTCCTCCGTAACAGGCTGGCAATAACTCTTTACGATTTCCACATACCTCTTAAAAATTATGAAAGACCCATTGTATTAAAACCTGGGATAAACAGGATATTTAAAGCCTGTTAGTGTGATCAAGTTCATCTGTAAATTTCACTTTGTTTTAGAGATCTCTGAAGAAAAAAAAAATTATTCAATACTCTTTACATTTTTCAAATTTCCCACTCCCCTTGGGAAGACAAAACCATGAAATAAGAAAAAGAAAATGAAGAGAATATTATTAAAGCACACACAGTCTATTGTTGTAAATTAATGAGTCCTAGACCAGGAGTCTTGAGATTTTGTTTTCAGTCCTTTTTGTGCCACAAGTGAACCATGTGTCCTTGGCTATTTGTCCTTGGGGAAGATACATGGCTTCTCTTGTGCTTCCATTGACCAAATGACCTCTGAGTCCCATTTTAGTCCTAAACCCCCTTGGAAATATGTTTAAAATTTTCTTTGATTTTTAGTTATCTTAATTTTAGAAATCCTAAATATTTATATGTCTACATTCATTCTAATTTCAGAAGAAAAATAGGCACTGTATATAGTAGATATATTGTGATCTTTGAGTTATAACACTCTGCCATTCGATGATAATCCCTGAACCAGTTACTTATCTTCTCAAAGCATGTTCCTCAGTTGAAAAATAGCTACGATATTCCATTGCCTCTATATTGAGGCAATATTTATAGAATTTCAAGAGATAAACTAAGAACCTATTTTATAATTTACATAAGGAGTAATAATAATAAAACAGACACTTTTGAACCAACCATCAACTTCAGAAATTGAACATTTCCAAAGCCTGTAAATTTTTTTGGGCCCTTCAATAATTACAGATCTTTTCCCCCTGTAAAATGGTAACCATGACTATGAATTTTTTTGTTGATAAGTTTTTGCATTTTGTTATTTTCTTGCTAAATATATGTACCTATAAACTATATATAAATATATATATATATATATATATTTTTTTTTTTTTTTTTTTTTTTTGAGGCCTCGCTCTGTTGGCCAGGCTGGAGTGCAGTGGCACAATCTCGGTTCACTGCAAGCTCCACCTCCCGGGTTCATGCCATTCTCCTGCCTCAGCCTCCCGAGTAGCTGGGACTACAGGTGCCCGTCACCATGCCTGGCTAATTTTTTGTATTTTTAGTAGACACATGGTTTCACCATGTTAGCCAGGATAGTCTCGATCTCCTGACATTGTGATCTGCCTGCCTTGGACTCCCAAAGTGTTGGTATTACAGGTGTTAGCCACTGCACCCGGCCTAAACAATATATTTTTAAAAGTTTTGGATATATGGGGAATTTATATATTATTAATTTATATATTATATTATATTATTATATTATAATACTGGTATTATACCAAATATATCCCTCTGCAGCTTGTTTTAATCACCCTACATTGTCTTTGAGATTTACTTTTGCTGATGTAACACTATAATAATAGTAGTAATAATAATAATAATAATAATTCTATCTCTTGTGTATAGATATTCAAGTTTTGCTCAGTTTGGGGCCTTTATAAACTGTGTTAAAGAATTTTGTATATGCTTCCAGGTCCACACCTATAAGAGTTTCTCTATGGATATACCTAGGAGTGGAACTGCTGGGCCATTGAGAATGCTCATTTTTGGCTTTGCAAGATACAAGTTAGTTTTTCAAAGTAGGCACATAAGAAAACATTCCCAACAGACTCTGGTGGAAAAAAAATATATATATACACATATATTTGCTTAAAAAATGAATTATTTGTATTCAAAAGGAGAAGAAACTTTCTTCTGGCATTTTTGGAGGTAATCCTTGATTAATTTTTAAAATTTCTTTTATGACATTACTTAATTATACGTTTTGTTTGTTTTTACTTCTTGAGAAAATTTTAGGTGTATATAGTGACAAGGAAAACCATCAATTTTATCTAATTAGAACTCTTTAGAATAGAGATGAAATCAAATTCTTTTGTACTAATCTAATAATCCTGATTATTTGTAATAAAGCTGTGCTTACAGCACAATGAATCATGTATAAGTGGCAAGTAATGATGGGCGGGAGAAGGCAGAGGATTCACTCCTCTCTTCTCACTCCATACTCTATAAGCAGGCAATCTAGAGTTTTTAACTCCAACCACGGCCCTTATAGATGAGTTCATATACTGCCTAGTAGACATCCGCACATGGAGGACATGAAGGCATCTGAAGATCAAAATAAACGAAAGTGCCTTTACCATCTTTCCTCCAATTTTAGGCCTTCTTTGTCCCCTCTCTCTCCCAGCTTACTAAACCTAAAACCTGGGAGCCACCCTTGACTTCTCCTTCCATATTGTAAAGCCAATCAATTGCAAAATCCTCTTGATTTTGTCTAAATGCAGCCCACTTTCTCCATCTCCACTGACATGACATTAATGATCTCCAACACTTGCCAGGCACTGTGGAAGTAAGTGCTTTATATAGATTATTTTTCTGAATACTTATACCAACATCATCAGGGGGTTATAATGGCTGTCCCGAGGATGTATATTGGAGGATATATATTGGAAAACAGGGTGAGGAAAGATAAACAATCACACAACTAACAGATAACAGGGCTGATTATGAAATCTCACTCCAAATGTTTTAACTACCTTGTGACAAAATACCTCAAACTCTTACCTTGTTACTAGTTCCTTGCTCTACTTCTGTCTCCCTCCAAATTTTTCTCTGGCCTTGAACCAGAAGATTTTTTAAAGTGTAAAATCTTATCTTTTTAATTCTTTAATTATTTTAATTCTCTTTAATTCTTATCTTTAATTCTTGGACACAGGGGTGTCCCATCTTTTGGCTTCCCTGGGCTGCGTTGGAAGAAGAATTGTCTTGGGCCGCACATGAAATATACTAACACTGATAATAGCTAATGAGCTTTTTAAAAACCACAAAAAAATCTCATAAAGTTTTAAGAGAATTTACAAATTTGTGTTGGGCCACATTCAAAGCCATCCTGTGCCACATTGGCCTATG
Source organism: Homo sapiens (assembly GCF_000001405.40). Lineage (NCBI taxonomy): Eukaryota > Metazoa > Chordata > Mammalia > Primates > Hominidae > Homo > Homo sapiens. The sequence continues at coordinate 156,587,361 of NC_000004.12, forward strand.
GGCTACAGGTTGGACAAGCTTGGCTTAAAACCTTTCAATAGCTTCTCATTTGTCTTATTCTCATTTTCTTATTCTGTTTTCTTTTCTAATTCATTTTTCTTATTCTATTCTAAAAATCATTAGCAGAGTCTAAAAGTTGCCACCTATTTCTCTTCTCACTCTGAGTAGATATGCCCCTTTCTGTCACAGATTCTTTGCTTTTCCCCTTTAAATAAAACCTCCTTCCCTAAATAAGAGCAACTAATTATAAATCTTTTTTTTAATTCTTCAAATTTCACTAAAAAATCAGTTCTCCAAGAAAGCCTTTCTAACTCAATAGTCTAGGTCTTCTAATAACATTGACTGTTATGACAGCAAATAGATTTTGCCAGGTTATTAAGATAAGATAGAAGCAAGGAAAAATGACTGAATATTTACAACTCTATTGTCTGGGAGAATTAACTCAAGACCCAGATAATGAAAAACTAGTAAACATTTGTTGAGAGGATACTATGTGTCAGCCATGGTACTGCTTTACATATTTTTGTTATACTTCCTCTTAGAATTATGTATGGGTCCTATATAGCACTTATAAAAATTATCATAAACTAATTAACAGTGAGATTTATTAATATTTGTCTTCATTTTTATACCTTAACTCATTAAGGGCTAAGATAGCTTCAGTTCCTTTTCCAGTACATTTTCAAGAATAATGTGTCAAACTAAAATTTGGTTGCTAAGATATAACTGCCAAGTTAAGACATTACTTATGTGCTCAGGGCAACCAATTTAAATACAGTTTTCTAAATCTTACATGTTATTATCTCAATGAGGTTGAAATATTTATCTTGAACCTTTAAAATTCAAAGTTAATAAGTAGAATATTTAATGCAGAAAGTACAGAATACAAGACCTGAAACTATAAAACTCTTAAAAGAAAATACAGGAAAAAGCTCCTTGACATTGACCTTGGCAATGATTTTTTGGCTATGAAACAAAGCATAAGTAATAAAGGCAAAAATAGACAAGTAGGATTAAATCAAGCTAAAAAGCTTATGCACACCACAGGAAACAGTCAACAAAATCCTAACCTATGATACGGAAGATATTTGCAAACCTTGTATCTGATAACAGGCTAATATCTGAAATATATATAAAAATATCCCTACAACTCAGCGCCAAAAAAAAAAAAAAAAAAAAACACCCTGAATCACCCAATTTTAAAAATGGGCAAAGGATCTGAAGAGACATTTTTCAAGAGACAATAAATTGGACAACAGCTGTAGGAAAATATATTCATTATCACTGATCATAATAGAAATAGAAATTAAAACCACAATGAGATATTAATTCATGCCTGTTAAGATGGCTATTATAAAAAAAGATAAGTGTTAGTGATGGGATAGAGGAAAGCGAACCTTAGGACACTGATAGTGGGAAATTAAATTGGTACAAATATTACGGAACACAGAATTTGGATGCCTCAAAAATTTAAAACTGGAACTACCATATTATCCAGGAATATCACTTCTAGGTATACACCCAAAAGAAATGGGAGAGCTGCATTCCCATGTTTATTATAGCATTATTCACAATGGCCAGGATATGAAAGAAGCCAGTTTCCATAACAAATGAATAGTGTTATTGTTTATATATGGCTTGTTTGTTTTTCTCCACCAAATCTCATGGTGAAATGTGATCCCCAGTGCCATTGTGTTGGGGGCGAGACCTAATAGGAGGTATTTGGATCATGGGGGCAGATTCCTCATGAATATATTAACGACTTCTTTTGAGGATGAAGGAGTTCTTGTTCTATTAGTTCCCATGACAGCTGGTTATTTTTTTAAAAGCCTGGCATCTACCCATCTCTCTCTTGCTTCCTCTCACACCAGGTGATCTCTGCACACGCTGGCTCCATTTTGCCTTCCATCATGAGTAGAAGCAGCCCAAGGCCTTCACCACATTTCCTATCTTGAACCTTCCAGCAAGAAGAATCATGAACCAAATAAACTGCTTTTCTTTATAAACTATTCAGCTTCATGTATTCCTTTACAGCAACACTAAATGGACTAAGACAAATTGATAAAGAAAATGTGATATCTATACATCTCTCTGTCTATAAAGATAAGATACCAATTACAATGGAACATTGTTCAGCCATAAAAAGAAGAAAATTCTGGAATTTCAGATGTCATGGATGAATCTGGAGGAAATTATGCAAAGAAAAATAAGCTAGACACAGAAAGACAAATACTATATAATCTCACTTATACGTGGAATCTGAAAAGTTGAACTCGGAAGCAGAGACTGAATGGTAGTTGCCAGGGGCTGGGAGCAGGGAGAAGAGAATTGAAAGAAGGAAACGGGAGATATTGGTCAAAGAGACAAACATTCAGTTATAAGGTGAATAAGTTCTGGAGATCTAATATATATAGCATGGTAACGATCATTAATTATACCATATTGTATACTTGAAATTTGCTGAAAGTAAATCTTAAGGGTTCTCAACAAATACATACAAAAAAAAGATCACCTTACATTACTATGAAAGATGATGGATGTGTTAACTAGCTTGATTTTGGTAATCATTTCACACTGTATATGTATATCAAGTCATGTTATACACCTTAAATATATACCGTTTTGTATGTGGATTACCTCAATAAAGCTGTGGGGTGAGGAAAGATTTGAAAAATATAATATTATAAGCCCTAAAACTTTGAGTAAAGCTTTGAGATTCAAGATTTTCAAGGTCTGAAAAATAATGAATTCCTTTCATTAACATGTAAATTTTAGAATCAGCCTGTTGATTTTCACACACACACACACGCACACACACATACACATTGGAATTGTTTTGAAGCCATAGATCAATTTGAGAAGAACTGACAGATTTAAATATTGTGTTTTCCAGGCCATGAACATGTTATATAGCTCCATTTATTTGTGTCTTCCTTAGTTTTTTTTTTTCAGTAATTGTTCATACTTTTCTATATAGAAGTCATGCACAATTTTTGTAGTTATGTCCTTAGCTGTTCAGCATTTTTTATGGTCTTATAATGCTATTTTTCAATAATTTCTCTTTGTTCATGGCATACACACACACACACACACACACACATAAAATTGATTCTTATGTGTTTACAGTACATCCACTGACCTTTGCTTGATTCATTTATTTAGTCTAATAGGTTATATGTAGATGACTTTGGATTTTCTATGCATATAATCATGTCATCTGCAATAACAATAGTTTTATTTCTCCTTTTGAATAATTTTACTTGAGGCAAACTGGTTTAAGATTGTCATAACTTCCTTTGGAATTGATCATTTTGACTTTATGAAGTGGCACCCTTTATGTCCATTAATACTTCTTACATTAAACTCTAATGAGTCTGGCATTAGCATAGCTATAGCATCTATCTTTTTAAACATTCTTATGGTATATATTTCCATCTTTTTACTCTCAATTTTAGGTATATAATTGGAATATATGTATATATGTGGGTAGCATATAGTTGGGCTTTATTTTTAAAATCCAGTTTGACAAAATTTATCTTGGAGTTTTATTTCATTTGTAGGTAATATAAATACTGATATACTTGTAGTTGCCTTTAATTTTGACATGTAGCATATCTCAAATAAAGAATTCTGAACATAGAACAATAGTACAAAATACATTTCTAAGTATTTAGAGGCATAACTCTTCTACTAGAAAAGACTAAACCCAGAGTAAGAGAGAGAGAGAGAGAGAGATCTTCCACAGATATGCAAGTATGAAGAGGAGGTTATATATAAAGAGAGCCAGCCATAAACACTGTTTTCCAAGTAGGCTCAGGAAGGCACCTTTTGACTGCATATTACAAATTCATAAAGAATACTTGAGCTGGGCTCAAATGGAAAGACAAATTTCAATATCACCTAGATCTCACAAAAGCAGAGCATTCCATGTCTTGTTTCAAGGTTGAGAAGTTGCTGCTATTAGTTTGCGTTCTCCCCTTCCCCAGTTGGATGAAAGTTGTAAATGTTAGGGAGAGGTAAATTATAGTTTTGATGCATGATCACCCACACTGACAAATCAAAATGGTACCTTGCTATTTCCCTAGTCTAGTATGTAAAAATATACTACATCGAAGGAATATTTAGTATTAGTAAGAAAAATAAATATGAGAAATACAGATCCAAGCCCAAGAGAAATTTTAGTGAGATCAATTCCTCACATAATCTAATACCTAGAACCCTTACGTGAGAGGCTGTATAGTATAGAGGTCTAGAGTTTACTACATGTCCAAGATTAGGCTATGGAAACCAACTCTTAGGTATGCTACTTACCAAATCTATGAGTTAAAGACAAATCCTAAAATTTTTGTTGACTCAGTTTCCTCATCTGTGAAATGAGAAACAATAACAGAAACTACTATGTAAGGTAATGTGGAGATTAAATTGCATCTAAAGCAATTGGAAAACTGCCCAGCAGATATAGCAAGTGTTCAAAATGGTTATTATTGTCGTCATCATCATCATCATCATCATCATCATCATCACTGTGATCACCTAAGTATCCGTCCATCTTTCATAAGTTTCAGATATATAAACAGCAGTGCTTCTAAGTTTCAAATTACACCTCATTGTTGATGCTCTCTCAACAACAGTACAAAAGATAGTCATCGTACCACCATCAATGCATGGAAGGAACCATAAGCACAATATTATATATTCAGTCAGCCTTTACTATTGACAATCAGCTTGAACAATCAGCTTTTCTATTCCTAAGACAGGATAGCTATAGAGAAAAGAGACTTAAATATGAAAGCTGTCCACATCTATTTCAAGGACAAAAAAGACACTCTTTCAGCTCTCTACTCATATTGCAGCAATGCACAGGAATTGGACACAAAAAATCGGCAAAGAGTCTTTTATATTTTGTCGTATATTCTCAGGACATGGATTTAAGCTGTAATTCAAATTTATTTCTCATACTGCACATATGCTTATATTTGTTATAAAATTGAAAATGACAGAAGATTGTGGGTTATACTTCAAAGATAAATTTTTAAAAAATACAATGCATTATAATTTTTATAGTCAGTATTCTGTGTAATAGATCCCTAAAGATTTTTCCTCCTCTCTTCTGGAAACTGTACCTTTTGATCAACATCTCTCCTATCTCCATCACCTTCCCCTCCCCAAGTCTCTCGTAAGACCTCTACCCTCTACTTCCAGGAGTTCAACTTTTTTTTCAATTCTACATATAAATGGGGTCATACTGTATTTGTCTTTGTGTGCCAGCTTTTTTCACTTAGCATAATGTCCTCCAGGTTCATCCATGCTGTTGTAAATGACATGATTTCCCCCTTTTACAAGGCTGAGTAATACTTCATTAGGTATGTATACCAAACTTTACTCATTCATCTGATGATGGAGAGGTTGCTTCCATGTCTTGGCTATTGTGAATAATGCTGCAATAAACATGGGAGTGCAAATATCTCCTCAGCATACTGATTTCAATTCCCTTGGTCATATACCCAGAAAGGGGATTACTGGAACATATGATAGTTCTATTTTCTAAGGAACCTCCATAACGGTTTTCATCATAACTATATTAATTTACTTTCCTACCAATAATGTACAAAGGTTTCCTTTTCTCCACCTCCTCGCCAACACTTAACATCTCTTGTTTTTTGGTAATACCCATTCTAACAGGTGTGTGATAATATTTCATTATGGTTTTCATTTGCATTTTCCTGATGACCAGCGATGAAAAGCATAGTGTCTTGTATCTGATGACCATTTGTATATCCTCTTTTGAAATGTATCTATTTAGTTTCTTTGCACATTTTTTGATTGGGTTTTGTTTCCTTGCTATTCAGTTGTTTGAATTCCTGATATATTTTTGATATTAGCCCTTATCAGACGTATGCTTTGCAAATATTTTCTCCCAATCCATGGGTTGTCTATTCAGAGGTCAATATTTTTATTTCTAATTATATGGAGTTTATAAATTATCTAGACGCAAAATTATATATTTGTTTTACTTGTTTGGCATTTACTGTGTTATTTTTATTTTTCTCATTTTTGCAATAAATATTTACAGTCCTTATACCTTGTTTTGGAGCTAGGAGGAAAACTTTATTAAGTCATCCAAGACAGAATTAGAGTGACCATCAATATGAAGACTCCTTCCCACAGGATAGGCAGAAACTCAAACTTACAAAAGATACAGAAAAAAAAATCTATCCTTTACAACAATCCAAATTATTTTAAACTCATTTTTAACTTAACTTTCCACAAACAATATATTTTCCATATTTTCTAAAGGTCTATTGGGGGAGCCAGAGTCTGTGTAATATGCTCAGTCCATCATCTTGAAACAATTCCAAAAAAACATATCTTCATTTTCTAAACTCCTAATTTATCTACTTTTCATATGGCATTTGCCACTCTCTACCTTGTGCTTCAATTATCTGAGCCATTGTCCTCTCTCCCCTACTAGCTCCTATAGTGACAAGTAGACATGGCCATAGAGATGCAAGGTGAGCAGTTGTGTTTATTAAACCTTCATTACGTTCAAGAAACATCACATATATTATGTAGCTTAAGTGTTTTATAAAACATTAAATTAGTATTAATGTTGTTTTGTTACACAGATGAGAAAACTGAAGCCCAGAGAAATTATAGTACATTACTTTGTGTTTCTCTGATTTCAATGCTCTAAATCTTTCCACGAGGCAGAGACTGGATTTATTTTTGAATCCTCCACAGAGCTGAGCATAAATCTTCATCCATAGAAATTCTCAATAAATGAAAGAAGGTAAACATCTTGATGATACTCTTACTTTATACATCAAATAACACTTGTCACCTGTGTTCTCTGGAAAGTTGGAAACTTATTTTTATAAATGGCTATGCTGTGATCACACACACACAAAAAACATTTTTTTTTAAAAAAAAATGTATCTAGAGTGCAGGATGAATAAGGTTAAAGCACATTAGCAATGCTTGAATACTTGAAAGAGTCAGAACTTTAAATATTTCCTTTTAATTATGTATTTAACCTATATATATATAAATGTAAACAAATAAAGAAATAATCTTTATCCTTACCGACTATAACTCACTTATAATCTAAAATACAGTGGAATTGATTTGTTTTGATTGAGAAATTCAGTTAGTTAACAAAGGCTGATTTCACACCTGTTGTGTGGTCTACAGTGTAGACTCTGCTACTTGAAGACTAAGAAAAGACTTTCTAAACATGCATGTTGCTAGTAAACACTACCTTCTAACACCTTTACCAAACAGATGACTGCATGGGCCTTTAAAATATACAAATTATGTTCAAATGAATAAACACCACAGAATTAACCTATTTTAGTAAAACAGGTTTATTCTACACAAACATTTTATATCTGCTGTAATAAATCATACTTTATGCCAGCTGACATGTTGTGAGCTGCCTACGGGGAGCCCACATGGCAAGTACCAGAAGGAGGACCCTGGCCAGCAGCCAGCAAGAGACTGAGGCCCTCAGAACAACAGCCTGTGAGGAACTGAAGCCTGACAACCACCAAGAATGAGTTTGGAAGGATCCTCTCCCAGTTACGTCTTCAGATAAGACTGAAGCTCCTGCCAACACTTAAACTGCAGCACTATAAGAAACTTTGAGGCAGAAAACCCAGCGAGGTAGGTGTGCTCTGATTCTTAACTCAGAGAAATGATCTGATCAGAAATATTCATTTTTTTCAAACCAGTAAGATTTGATGTAATGTGTTGCACACCAAAACAGTCTGTACTGACTGTAATACAGTTGGTAACAGAAAATAACTGAACAGGGGCAAAAATAAATATCCTCTTTCAAACAATGATTCATAAAACTGTTTGCAAAATACATACACACCCACGAACACACATACACACACACAAACACACCACAGTAGAGTGATTAAGAGCATAAATTCTGGAGCCAAAATGCTAGGTATAAACCCCAGTCCTGCTACATACAGCTGTGTGTCCTGGTAAAGATGTTTTAACCCCTCTCTGTTTCCTCATCTACAAAATAGAAAAAGCAACAGCAACATTTTCTCTGATTTGTAGTAAGGATCAATGTGCTTAGAACATGACCGTACACTGTAATCACAATATAAATGTGAGCCATTCCCATTATTTTGGCAGCTAGTATTGTGCCTGCCATATAACTCTTGGTCAATAAACATACATGTCCCCCTACAGTCACATTTGATCAACCTAACATAATTGATTCCCTGAGAAGCAATTAGTTCTGAAGCTAAAGCATATCCCATGGTCTAAACTCAATATACCTTTGAGTAGAATTCTGAATTGAATTTTTTTATTGAAACTTCTGCTCACACCAGTTGAGAGCTTAATTTTATCATCTAGGCAATCTGAGCAGGTGGCTGATTTCTGAAGCAGCCTTTCTACAAAATCAATGAAGCAAAAGAAAGGAGTGAGAAGACTCACGAGAAAACACTCATAAGAAAATAAGATTTAGAGTTTATGTAAAGCAGCCTTCTTCCAAAACAGGATTATTGGTAGGGTGGGAACAAAAGTAGGAAAGAGTAGAATCAGGTCAATGAAATTTTTATGTGTTGTATACTGACATTTTTACCAGAAATTTTTTTTAACGCAAAGCAGGGCATGCTTTTCATTGACTTTTCCTCCATCACTCTCATTGTTTCCTCTTCTTAATGAGAAAACAACTATTGCACTGCACAAATATCAGCCTAGATGGGGATGGAGACCCATCGAAAGGTGGAAATGCTTCTTAAGCCTTAGAGAAGCATCCACAAGGACCAAGCTCAGGGTAGACTCTTATCTAAACCTTGTGGGTGTGTGAATTTCAAGCCACAAGTCTTGTGAGAACAGATTGAGGCACCGCATTCCTGGTATTCCTCTCCAGTGGGACCAGAAATACCCAGGGTGAAAGTTTCTCATGTGCTTCTTGCCAAAATACTACACTCCAAACTCCCACAGTACTCCCTTCTGCAATGAATTCTAATTTGTTTCAAAAATAAATCTAGTGCTTACATGGGGGGAAAAAAAAACTCCTCTCTGCTCAATGATATTGAGGTGCAGAATCAAAATGAGGTTCAAAAAATAATAGTCCAGAAGATAAAATCTTTGGTAATTTGAATCTTATTGTAGTAAATATCTTCTGGGTAAAGGTTTTTTTTTCTTTTTTTAAGTTTCCTATTGAATGACTTCTCCAGGAGTCTGCCACAGAGTATATAGGCAACAACTACCTCATTTCTAGGTCAGCAGAGATTCTCTGCATATACAGAGAAAGTCGGCATCCAAGTCCCAGCATCTGTCTGTCATTAGGCAGACCTGTGCTTAAAGCCACAAAGAGAGTAAATGATTTTCATCGTCAAAACCTAAAATAATCTAGAAGCAGCCTAATGAAAATCAGTCAGCTGTGCTGATTATTTTAATGTGCTTTTGGTGTAATTTTTATGGGAAATAAATGTATTAGAAGAAATCCTGAAAGTATTTTTGTAGGAAGTTGCTTATATTGTCTATTAATATGAGGATGAGGAAGAAGTGGAAAAAGGGGAACATTAGCAATTGCTCAAGAGGGTAATGCAAACTTTACAGCAATAAATTATAACCAATTTTACATTGTTTATGATTAGGAAGGCAAATAACCAAAAACAATGGACTCTTCTCTTAGAGAACAGGATAGACTTTATCGAGTGAGTTGAAATGCATTACAGAGTTCTGCTATCCAATAAAACATACTACACCAACTGGCAGGGCACAGGAAATGCTCCCAATCCAAGCTTGTCTTCAGTTAAAGGAATTTGACTTTAAGCCGCAAGCGTACATTATTTTTATAAAGGGTCTTAAAGAAATGGGATTAGTGATAAGACAGTCTGGTTTGCATCTGCATAGGATCTTCTTGTCCAGGTAAAGTGGACCATATGGAAGAATGCTCTGGAACTCCTTAGACATTGAATTTCTCAGTTAAATACAAAGAATTTATTTTAGCTAATTAATTTAACCTCTTACTTTGTTATATTTTCATAAAGCTAATTTTAAAAAATCCTAGAAACTAACCTGATGTTATTGTCACCTATTATTTTGCCCACTATAATGCATAATGGACTGGCCAGTATACTTTTAGCAGCAATAAAATGAGCTGAAAAAAAACCTATAAAATATATGGAGTGGAACATTGTTCCCTACAAGGACAAATGATGGCTATTACATTTTCCAAAAACTACTACTGTTGAATAACTCTTTGCAAAGTCGATTTTGGACCATCTCAGAAATGGTGCCTTTCCTTCTTTTCAACAGTAGGTAAGAATGATGCCTTAGGTTTCCCAGAAGGACTAGCTGGAGTAGAATGCATCCAAATAGCAAAGTTACTTGCCAAAACATTGAAAGACTTCTGCTTGCAAAATGGGACTTTGCATGCGCTGTTTACTCTCTTTCCATGTGAATGGAGTTTCCAATCCAAGAAGTCCATTTGGATGCAACAAGTCACTAAAGAATAAAATCAGCGAGGTTGGTCTAAACATGTTTGTCTATTGCATCTGATTGCAAATTATGTTTGCTTTATTTCATTGTATTCACTGTTCATATTGAGATTGCTTAAAGTCCAAATCTACAATACATTTGGAAGATTCCTAGACTTCTTTCACATTTTCCGTGTTAGCAAATGTTCCCTTTACCACACTCTTTCACACACACACCTGTAAGTGTAACTGCTCTTAAAATTGGAAAAGCTGAAAGAAAACAACTCCTTTTAGAAATGACCCAGGTCAGGAGGCTCCTGGTTTTTATTGCCACTTCAAAGCCAAACCAGATAAACTGGCTTAAGGTACTACTTTGGCATTGAACAGAATTCAATACAGCTGTCTGAGTAGCAGAAGCTTTGAGGTCATAGTAATTTTGCTTGAAAGGCTCACCCCTCCTCCATATATGGCCGAGTTGCTGTGCTTCCTGTTCTTTTGTGCCAAGAATTCCTCTCCTGTCCCCTGACCCAGCAGACTCAAGACTTCTAATTGTGCTGATAATTTCATTCCTCATCTTTTCAGAAAGTCATGTGAGAGATTTAGCTCTGGTACTTAATTTAAACTGTTTATATTTCCTTTACAGTATGCTCCAACCAGCAGCGCGGACCGCAAGTGGAGCCCGGCAATTGGAAAGTTGCAAATGCCTGGATGCTACGTTTTGCATCTTCTTTAGATATCCTTGACTCATACATCCTGTCTGGGCTAATGTTGTTTTCTGCTTGCAGTGTGTCTGGAGTCTCAACAAGTGCCCAAGCCACCCTCAAAGGGTCACTCCTTGTTTCAAGAGCACTTGTGCTTGCCTTGACCTCTCTGTCGCTCTCTGATTCCACTTAGGAAGCTGCTTAGTTCCATTTTTCAACTGAAAAATTATCCTCTGCTTCAGGCCACTCTGTCATACTGTTTTGTGTAGTGTTTTAAAGCTAATTTGAACTAGGCAATGTCTTAGCCTTAGATATAGACAGATAATTTTCCAGATCAGACAAGCTATAGTAAAGCTTCAAAGGGAAAACTTTTATTCCTAAAGAGAATAGAAAACTCATCTGTGTTATTCATATTGTATTTAAGAAATGACCCAAGTTGAAAATAAATGTGACATGTGAAACTGAATATCCACTAATATTTCTGGTAGCTTCTGCAATTATGTCTAAAGTTTTCCATTTTACTGTTGAGCTTTTATAATAAATACAGGGACCAAGAATCATCTTCTGACAATGAAGCAAGGGATCAGTTCAATTGAGACTATTAGGCAGAAGGGGGAAACTGGAAGAAATATATTAATCTTTTTCTTCTGAATGTCTACAATGTAATGCCAGATTAAAACAAAACCAAATAAAACAAAAAAAGAAGCAGATGAACTTAAGAAGAAAGGTTATAAATACCCAAATGTTTAGGTACCATTATCATTACTTGTTCTTACATTTTAAACTGGTTATTTCTACAAACTATTTGGTGCACGTTTAAACTATTATCTTGAATTTTCAAGCAAAATTCCTCATATGAACATTATGTACCAATAATTGATATTTTAATTGATCTAAGATTAAATATAAGTTAAAGATATTGATGGCTTCCAATTTTTGTCTTATTTTTAAGAAAGTTGGGTCCATATGAACAGTCTTCTCAGTAACCAAAACTTGACATAAACTAAATATTTGCAAAGTTTCTAAAATTCAAAAGCATCATTGTTTGTTTTGTCTGGATTTTTTCTCAATTTTCCATGGGCTCCAGCACTTCCTGTCTCAACTTGTGACCAGAAAAGAAACTACCAAAATGAAGCAGGAAAGGTTGTTTCTATTTTGCAGTTGAATATGCCAGCCAGGAATCAGGGGGTATTAGCAATTTCATAGATTGTCCCAACTGGAAAACACAGATGTTGTCAAATGTTACACATGTAATAACTACATCCTTTGAAGTTTGGTCATAAGCAGTATTCAAGAGAGAGAAAGAGAGAAGGAAAGAAGGAAAGAAGGGAACGAAGGAAAGAACAAAGGAAAGAAGGAAGGAAGGAAGGAAGGAAGGAAGGAAGGAAGGATATCAACATTCTAGAAGTAGAGCTGATGCACCCTGTGATAGGAGAAGTATACAGGGCAAGTTGATATGCCAAAACAGTGCGTAGGATTCCCTCACCTCATTGCCATGTGTTGAAGTTGGTTCACATAACACAGGGTTGTTCAAATGCTAGCTGATATTATATAATAAATCTATTCTTCAGCTACCAAATACAGCCTAATTTAATCATTTAATTATCTGCATTTAACTATGCAAAGATATTTCACCAACAAATAATTTTCTCTTAAAATGTCAAATATTTAAGTATTTACTGTCAGGCCTCAGAGCCCAAGCTAAGCCATCGTATCCCCTGTGACTTGCACGTATATGCCCAGATGGCCTGAAGTAACTGAAGAATCACAAAAGAAGTGAATGTGCCCTGCCCCGCCTTAACTGATGACATTCCACCACAAAAGAAGTGTAAATGGCTGGTCCCTGACTTAAGTGATGACATTACCTTCTGGAAGTCCTTTTCCTGGCTCATCCTGGCACAAAAAGCACCCCCACTGAGCACCTTGCGACCCCCACTCCTGCCCGCCAGAGAACAAACCCCCTTTGACTATAATTTCCCTTTACCTACCCAAATCCTATAAAACGGCCCCACCCTTATCTCCCTTAGCTGACTCTCTTTTCAGACTCAGCCCGCCTGCACCCAGGTGAAATAAACAGCCATGTTGCTCACACAAAGCCTGTTTGGTGGTCTCTTCACAAGGACGCGCAGGAAATTTGGTGCCGTGACTCGGATCAGGGGACCTCCCTTGGGAGATCAATCCCATCCTCCTGTTCTTTGCTCCATAAGAAAGATCCACCTACGACCTCAGGTCCTCAGACCCACCAGCCCAAGGAACATCTCACCAATTTTAAATCAGGTAAGCGGCCTCTTCTTACTCTCTTCTCCAACCTCTCTCTGTCCCTCAACCACTTTCTTCTTTCCACTCTTCAATCTCTCCCTTCTCTTAATTTCAATTCCTTTCATTTTCTGGGAGAGACAAAGGAGACACGTTTTATCTGTGGACCCAAAACTCTGGCGCCGGTCACGGACTGGGAAGGCAGCCTTCCCTTGGTGTTCAATCATTGCAGGGATGCCTCTCTGATTATTCACCCACGTTTCAAAGGTGTCAGACCACGCAGGGACGCCTGCCTTGGTCCTTCACCCTTAGCGGCAAGTCCCGCTTTTCTGGGGAAGGGGCAAGTACCCCAACCCCTTCTCTCCTTGTCTCTACCCCTTCTCTGCTTTCCTGGGGAAGGGTCAAGTACCCCTCAACCCCTTCTCTTTCACCCTTAGCGGCAAGTCCCACTTTTCTGGGGCAGGGGCAAGTACCCCTCAACCCCTTCTCTTTCACCCTTAGCGGCAAGTCCCGCTTTTCTAGGGGGCAAGAACCCCAATCCCTTATTTCCACACCCCAACCTCGTATCTCTGTGCCCCAATCCCTTATTTCCATGCCCCGACCCCTTATTTCCATGCCCTGACCCCTTATTTCTGCACCCCATCCCTTATTTCTGCACCCCAACCTCTTATCTCTGTGCCCCAACCCCTTTTCCCACTTTTCTGGAAGGTAAGAACCCCTGAACCCCTTCCCTCCGTTTCTCTACTCTCTCTTTTCTCTAGGCTTGCTTCCTTTACTATAGGCAACCTTCCACCCTCCATTCCTCCTTCTACTCCCTTGGCCTGTGTTCTCAAAAACTTAAAACCTCTTCAAGTCACACCTGACCTAAAACCTAAATGCCTTATTTTCTTCTGCAATGCCGCTTGACCCCAATACAAACTCGACAGTAGTTCCAAATAGCCAGAAAGTGGCACTTTGAATTTTTCCATCCTGCAAGATCTAAATAATTCTTGTCATAAAACAGGCAAACGGTCTGAGGTGCCTGACGTCCAGGCATTCTTTTACACATCAGTCCCTTCCTAGTCTCTGTACCCAGTGCAACTCATCCCAAATCTTCCTACTTTCCCTCCCACCTGTCCCCTCAGTCCCAACGCCAAGTGTCACTGAGTCTTTGTAATCTTCCTTTTCTACAGACCCATCTGACCTCTCCCCTCCTCGCCAGGCCGAGCTAGGTCCCAATTCTTCCTCAGCCTCCGCCCTCCACCCTATAATCTTTTTATCACCTCCCCTCCTCATACCTGGTCGGGCTTACAGTTTTGTTCTGTGACTAGCCCTCCCCCACCTGCCCAGCAATTTACTCTTAAAAAGGTGGCTGGAGCCAAAGGCATAGTCAAGGTTAATGTTCCTTTTTCTTTATCCCAAATCAGATGGCGTTTAGGCTCTTTTTCATCAAATATAAAAATCCAGCCCAGTTCATGACTCGTTTGGCAGCAACCCTGAGACACTTTACAGCCCTAGACCCTAAAAGGTCAAAAGGCCGTCTTATTCTCAAAATACATTTTATTACCCAATCTGCTCCCGACATTAAATAAAACTCCAAAAATTAAATTCCGGCGCTCAAACCCCACAAAAGGATTTAATTAACCTTGCCTTCAAGGTGTACAATAATATAAAAAAGTTGCAATTCCTTGCCTCCACTGTGAGACAAACCCCAGCCACATCTCCAGCACACAAGAACTTCCAAAGGCCTGAACCGCAGCGGCCAGGCATTCCTCCAGAACCTCCTCCCACAGGAGCTTGCTACACGTGCCGGAAATCTGGCCACTGGGCCAAGGAATGGCCGCAGCCCAGGATTCCTCCTAAGCCATGTCCCATCTGTGTGGGACCCCACTGAAAATCAGATTGTTCAACTCACCTGGCAGCCACTCCCAGAGACCCTGGAACTCTGGCCCAAGGCTCTCTGACTGACTCCTTCCCAGATCTTCTCGGCTTAGCGGCTGAAGACTGACACTGCCCGATCGCCTCAGAAGCCCCCAGACCATCACAAACGCTGAGCTTCCGGTAACTCTCACAGTGGAAGGTAAGCCCATCCCCTTCTTAATCAATACGGAGGCTACCCACTCCACGTTACCTTCTTTTCAAGGGCCTGTTTCCCTTGCCTCCATAACTGTTGTGGGTATTGACAGCCAGGCTTCTAAACCTCTTAAAACTCCCCAACTCTGGTGCCAACTTAGACAATACTCTTTTAAGCACTCCTTTCAGTTATCCCCACCTGCCCAGTTCCCTTATTAGGCTGAGACACTTTAACTAAATTATCTGCTTCCCTGACTATTCCTGGACTACAGCTACATCTCATTGCCGCCCTTCTTCCCAATCCAAAGCCTCCTTTGCGTCCTCCTCTTGTATCCCTCCACCTTAACCCACAAGTATAAGATACCTCTACTCCCTCCTTGGCAACCGATCATGCACCCCTTACCATCTCGTTAAAACCTAATCACCCTTACCCCACTCAATGCCAATATCCCATCCCGCAACACGCTTTAAAAAGATTAAAGCCTGTTATCACTCGCCTGCTACAGCATGGCCTTTTAAAGCCTATAAACTCTCCTTACAATTCCCCCATTTTACCTGTCCTAAAACCAGACAAGCCTTACAAGTTAGTTCAGGATCTGCTCCTTATCAACCAAATTGTTTTGCCTATACACCCCGTGGTGCCAAACCCATATACTCTCCTATCCTCAATACCTGCCTCTACAACCCATTATTCTGTTCTAGATCTCAAACATGCTTTCTTTACTATTCCTTTGCACCCTTAGTCCCAGCCTCTCTTCACTTTCACTTGGACTGACCCTGACACCCATCAAGCTCAGCAAATTACCTAGGCTGTACTACTGCAAAGCTTCACAGACAGCCCCCATTACTTCAATCAAGCCCAAATTTCTTCCTCATCTGTTACCTATCTCGGCATAATTCTCATAAAAACACACATGCTCTCCCTGCCAATCGTGTCCGACTGATCTCTCAAACCCCAGCACCTTCTACAAAACAACAACTCCTTTCCTTCCTAGGCATGGTTAGCGTGGTCAGAATTCTTACACGAGAGCCAGGACCACACCCTGTAGCCTTTCTGTCCAAACAACTTGATCTTACTGTTTTAGCCTAGCCCTCATGTCTGCGTGCAGCGGCTGCCACTGCCTTAATACTTTTAGAGGCCCTCAAAATCACAAACTATGCTCAACTCACTCTCTACAGTTCTCATAACTTCCAAAATCTATTTTCTTCCTCATACCTGACGCATATACTTTCTGCTTCCCGGCTCCTTCAGCTATACTCACTCTTTGTTGAGTCTCCCACAATTACCGTTTTTCCTGGCCCAGACTTCATTCCGGCCTCCCACATTGTTCCTGATACCACACCTGACCCCCATGATTGTATCTCTCTGATCCACCTGACATTCACCCCATTTCTCCAAATTTCCTTCTTTCCTGTTCCTCACCCTGATCACGCTTGATTTATTGATGGCGGTTCCACCAGGCCTAATTGCCACCCACCAGCAAAGGCAGGTTATGCTATAGTACAAGCCAGTAGCCTGCCTCTTGGAACCTCTCATTTCCTTTCCATCATGGAAATCTATCCTCAAGGAAATAACTTCTCAGTGTTCCATCTGCTATTCTACTACTCCTCAGGGATTATTCAGGCCCCCTCCCTTCCCTACACATCAAGCTCGAGGATTTGCCCCACCCAGGACTGGCAAATTAGCTTTACTCAACATGCCCTGAGTCAGATAACTAAAATACCTCTTAGTCTAGGTAGATACTTTCACTGGATAATTAGAGGCCTTTCCTACAGGGTCTGAGAAGGCCACCGCAGTCATTTCTTCCCTTCTGTCAGACATAATTCCTCAGTTTAGCCTTCCCACCTCAATACAGTCTGATAACAGACAAGCCTTTATTAGTCAAATCAGCCAAGCAGTTTTTCAGGCTCTTAGTATTCAGTGAAACATTTATATCCCTTACGGTCCTCCATCTTCAAGAAAAGTAGAATGGACTAAAGGTCTTTTAAAAACACACCTCACCAAGCTCAGCCACCAACTTAAAAAGGACTGGACAATACTTTTACCACTTTCCCTTCTCAGAATTCAGGCTTATCCTCGGAATGCTACAGGGTACAGCCCATTTGAGCTCCTGTAGAGATGCTCCTTTTTATTAGGCCCTAGTCTCATTCCAGACACCAGACCAACTTAGACTGTACCCCCAAAAAAACTTGTCATCCCTACTATCTTCCATCTAGTCATACTCCTATTTACCGTTCTCAACTACTCATACATGCCCTGCTCTTGTTTACACTGCCGGTTTACACTGTTTTTCCAAGCCATCACAGCTGATATCTCCTGGTGCTATCCCCAAACTGCCACTCTTAACTCTTGAAGTAAATAAATAATCTTTGCTGGCAGGACTATGCTGAATCTCCTTAGGCACTCTCTAATCAGATATCCTGAGTCATCCCAATTCTTAGACCTTTTATACCTGTTTTTCTCCTTCTGTTATTCCATTTAGTTTCTCAATTCATCCAAAACCGTATCCAGGCCATCACCAATCATTCTATACGACAAATGTTTCTTCTAACATCCCCACAATGTCACCCCTTACCACGAGACCTCCCTTCAGCTTAATGTCTCCCACTCTAGGTTCCCACGCCGCCCCTAATCCCGCTTAAAGCAGCCCTGAGAAACATCGCCATTCTCTCTCCATACCACCCCCCAAAAATTTTCGCCGCCCCAACACTTCAACACCATTTTGTTTTATTTTTCTTATTAATATAAGAAGGCAGGAATGTCAGGCCTCTGAGCCCAAGCCAAGCCATCGCATCCCCTGTGACTTGCACGTATATGCCCAGATGGCCTGAAGTAACTGAAGAATCACAAAAGAAGTGAATGTGCCCTGCCCCGCCTTAACTGATGACATTCCACCACAAAAGAAGTGTAAATGGCCGGTCCCTGCCTTAAGTGATGACATTACCTTGTGAAAGTCCTTTTCCTGGCTCATCCTGGCTCAAAAAGCTCCCCCACTGAGCACCTTGCGACCCCCACTCCTGCCCGCCAGAGAACAAACCCCCTTTGACTGTAATTTTCCTTTACCTACCCAAATCCTATAAAACGGCCCCACCCTTAACTCCCTTAGCTGACTCTCTTTTCAGACTCAGCCCGCCTGCACCCAGGTGAAATAAACAGCCATGTTGCTCACACAAAGCCTGTTTGGTGGTCTCTTCACAGGGACGCGCATGAAATTTACTATTTTACTTTTTTTATCTTATCATAACTTGAGAATATTCACAAGAAGCTCCTTCCAGAAAGATGAGTACATTTCCCAATAGTGCTCACTCATCTCTTCGGAGTTTGGGTTTCCCCAACTGGTCTAAATGGTGAAAACATGTGGCAAAACAGAAACACTGTAGGATGACACTTTAGAGACCAAGTTGTATCACTATGTTATTAAAATGTAAACATTCATCCTACTACAGCCAAACTATTACACTGGTACAAAAGTTATTGTGGTTTTTGCAATTACTTTTAATGGCAAACATCTCAATTACTTTTGCACCAACCTAATACCTCACCCTTGGCTGTTCATGGGCCTCCAAAAAAATTTTTTTAATGAATTTGTGAAATAATGGAATATTTAAATTCATACATTCATATTGCTCATGAAAGTAGGCTATTTTAGTTTTTCAACTCAGAAAGCTTTTTTTTTTTTCCTATTAAGAAATAGCTACATTAAACTACCACTGGAAAAAAATATATATAACAGAAGCTATGGGATGATGTCACAAATATTCATTGTCAAAGTATCAGCTGATCAAGCTAGTCAGCAGTAAACAACTCTCCCACTGATAGCGGCATCAACAGCATTCCATCAAGTGACTAAATGTCTTAGACTCAACCATTTCTTCTGGTTTCCTAACCTATTTCTGGCCACATTATTCTTTGAACCATTCAAATGAAATATTGCTATCTCTACCCATCGTACAGAGCAAGCCATTCTACTCTGTGATTGAGAGTACGTGTCAAAAGAGAGCCACTGTGTCAAGATAACCTACCCACTCATCTGCTACAGCATTTGAAATATCAGCACTTCAGAACCATTTATTTTCATTTCTTTATTTGGTGATCCTTCCACAATTCCAGCAAATTAAACTGAGTCACACAATAGCAGGCCACATCTATTTTCTTTCCAGGAGAGATCCAAAACTGTCTCCAATCTCAGCTGTGTTGGAAACTCAAAGACACAAATCCTGAATGGACTTGAAAGGGTGCAGAGGAAGCAGTTAAGTCTGCCGCAGACAAAATAGTTAATGTTGTAGGGCAGAGAGTCTGCCTGGAATGATAAATTATTTCTTCTGCTCCTTAAATTCTCTCTACAGTTTATCTTTTTTCTCTTCAGTCTCTATGCCTGAACTGCTTGCCCTCAACTGTAATTACTTCTCTTGCCCCTTTATGAGTCATGGAAGATTCAGCTAAGTCCACCTTGGAAAATTCTACTGGAAAGAGAACACCTGATAATGTGATATCTCAGTGAATTACTGTTTCTCTTCCCAGCATTCCTGTCCATATTTGGACTCCGTAGTCGTGGCAGAGTCATTTTTCTTGTATTAAGAACATAGTAAAATCTTTCGTGTAATACAATTATTCTATGGTTAAATCATTCCTTTCTTAGAAAACTGTCTGCTTAGAAAATGATATATTTGATATACTACTTTGGAAAATTTAGGGGCTGTGAGAGATGATTAGCAGGCTTTTCCCTAGCTCATCATGAAAGTGAAAGGGGGAAAAAATTCAAGAAAAAATGTGCTTGGATGAAGAATTTAACATCCCAGTGGAAATTCTGTAAAGCTCAAGACATACTGACTGATGTTTAACAGGCCCTCACCTACCTCTGCAAAGGAAAAGGGAAGGAAAAACTGGAGGGAAGCATGCATTTGTTCTGTGATGTGATGCTTGAAAGTCCTACAAAGAGGCCCCTGGGTTCCTTTCCCCTACAGTAGCTAAGCTATGAGAGATAGCATCTTTGTAGACTGCTGCTCCTAAATCCATCCGCTTATGGAAGTACCAAGAACTGGGTTCTAAGTGTAGGAATCTAAAAGGAATACAATAGAGCCTGAATTTCACTAATCTTTTTTCATAGCCAGGGTAGAAATGTTCCACTTCACTTCACACATATTTTCCTTTATTCGTGTGCTTCCTGGAAGCACTTTGACTACTTAAAATATTAAGAGACCAAGAACCCTTTCAGTCGTCCAAAGCATGCTGTACTCTTTTTTGTTTTATCTCATTTTAGCAGAACTGCTTCCCCCCAAAAATCTCATCAGATTTTAAATCAAACATATACAAATGGAGGACAGCTCCAGTTAGAGAATAAAGGAACCAAGAAAGAGTTTCTATGGTATAAAGCTACCTTCAATGAAGAAAGTTAGCACTAGCAATAGGAGAAGATAGACTTCCTTAAGATTGCAGAACACCAAAGTAATGACATTTACACATGCACGTGTGTTAACATGGTGAGAGGCAGATGTGAAGCAATTTTACTACTTCCTGTTTCACCTGATAGGAATTACATTCTTCATTTGAGGCTGTCCAACATCTTTTAATATAATATTCTTATATAGTGGATATTTTGCACATTATGAATCCCACCTTCCCAAGGAAAACACAGAACACATGCGTCCTCAGACTCCTTGGCAGCACATGGCCTAGATTCTACCAATCACACTTGCCCAGATAATCTTAAATTGGTGCAAAAATAATTGTGGTTTTTTGCCATGAAAGGTAATGGCAAAAACTGCAATTGCTTTTGTGCCAACCTATAATATATAGAGATTTAAGAGTGAAACTGTATATAGGGATCTTCCACAAGTGTTTTTGGAGATACGTAGTTCTTCCGGCTCTGCAGGGGAAGTTCTTCTGGTGCCCAGACAAAATTCTAACAGATGTACCAGTAGTGTTTTCATTAGAGAAGCCTCTGTATTGTGACTGAGTGCTGAACCTATTGGTGTATCTCTGAAACCTGACTCTGTTCGTGCTGATAATAACCTCTGATAAGAACTTTTTTTTACTTAGATTATTCAGAATAGATTCTATTGTTTGGAACTAAGGACATTAACCGATACGTCATCCCCCAGGATTTTCATTCCCCCTTAGCTGAGCTTTATTTTGATTAAGTATGTAAGCATCTGTCTTTCCAATGCCTATGTTTTTCAGTGCCTGTATTTACAGTGACAAGAGGCGAAATCATCATCTTCCTCCTTTAATAGAATGACAAAGTTTTGATGAAAGCTGTACACAGTGAGCTAACAGCCATTATTAGTTTGATCTTGGATATTACAACCTGAGACATAATGACCAAAGAATGATGGCAATTAAACCTGTATTAGGTATATGAATGCTACAGATTCATTGTAAACAGCCACATATTACCAAGATATCTAGGGGAAAATATCTGAATTTGGAGTGTTCCAAAATAACCCCAAAGACCCCTGCCTCTTAGTACATATACCCACCTATAATTCCTTCCATTTGTGTGTGGCTGGATCCAATGACTTGCTTCTAAGAAATGGAATACAGCAAAAGTGATGAACTACACGTCTGAGATTAGGTTATAAAAGTCTGTGACTTCTGTCTTACTTATACTCTCTCTGTCTCTTTTCCTTTGCTTGCTTTAATGAAACAAAGTGCCATATTGTGAGCTGCCAAATGGGTAGGCTCACTTAGCAAAGAACCAAGGGTGGCTCCTGGCCAACAGCCAGCGAGGAACTGAAACTTTCAGTCCAACAGTTGAGAAAGAATTGAATCCTGTCAGTAAACCCATGAGCAAGGTTGGAGGTGGATCCTTTCCCAGTGGAGCTTTGAGATAACTGCAGCCCCTATCAACACCTTTGTTTCAGCCTTATGAGACCATGAGCCACAGGCACCAGCCTAAGCCACAGCCAGATTCCTGACCCACAGACACTGTGAGCTAAGAAATGTTTTAAGCCACCACATTTGGGTTTGATTTGTGGTTTGGTAACAGATAACCAATACTAAATGAAAAGATTATCTATTGAGAGTTGTTTTTTTTTTTTT
Organism: Homo sapiens; assembly: GCF_000001405.40. Classification (NCBI taxonomy): domain Eukaryota; kingdom Metazoa; phylum Chordata; class Mammalia; order Primates; family Hominidae; genus Homo; species Homo sapiens. The sequence goes on from NC_000004.12 coordinate 156,609,866, forward strand.
TTTTTTTTTTTGTTGTTGTTGTTTGCATTAATGAAGGCCTTCAGTAGCATGCTTAATGAAAAATAAGAAGGCTTTGTTTGGCTTTGCTTTTACTGAATGTTGAGTCAGTTTGAGGAACTCTGAATACTGCCATGGTGTAGTGTGGCTGAAATGGTAGAAGAAACTCATGGGGAGGAGGAGCCTCTGGGGCGAGGTACTTGCCATTGGAAAAGAAACTTTGGGGCAAGAGAAGAAATGCTTATAGGTGATTTGAGGGAAAGATAGTCCAGTAGGCAGTGTGAAATATCTCTTTTCCTCTCTGTGAAACATTTAGTAAACTGTACATTCTTCTTTAAAACATTTGGAGTTAAATTTGACTTAGAGAGAAAGTGAGATACTAAGACCTGCTTAGAGCAGCTCACAACTACTGAACTCAGGTTAAAATAAACTAAGAACCTCCCTTTCATTAGTGAGAGATGATTAAATAAACAAGATGCCTAGTAAGTTCAAGTGGGAAAGAAAAATAAATCAAAGGTATCCTTTGAAAAATAAAGTGCATGCATTGGTCATGACAATGTAATCAGGAGCATTTTAGTAGCCAAAGGAAGGAGGTAAATTAATTTGTACTTTCAAAAGGAGTTATGAGGAATGGCATATTTTAGAGAACAAGCTGCTACCATTTTAAAAGGGCAGGTCATCTGTATAACTCATCCAGTTTTTTAATGGGATTACCTCAGAAAAATAAAAGGAAGATGGCAAATACTCTCTGGATAACATAGAGACAGTAATATGAATTATAAATCGTTTCTTCATATATTTATTCACAATAAGATCCTATAATTGCTAATGGACTCAAGAGAACATCTAGTTTATTTCTTACTGTCTTGGATAAGAATATCCAATTAACTCTGGTAGTTATCTTTTAAAACCCCACATATCTCTGAAAGGTCATTTTACTATTCTCTATTAGCAAATTTCAGTACCAAGTATATCTGACAAAATACTCAAAATAATTTTTTTATCATCTTTCCCCTTCATAATTGAATATCCTACTAGGCAAGACCTGAAATTGATCCTAGAACTGATAACTTTCCCAGAAGAGCCTACTGGTGCTTCTTTGCTATTTGCGATGCTGTACATCTCTCCTTGAACTTAAATATCTCCTTCATTTTAACACTCCTCCTACCTAATTTCTAGTTAATTTCATTTTCTCTGCTCATCAGCAGCTTTCATTCTGCCATTGACACTTATATATACATATATATTTTTAGATTTGTTATTGCTGGGTCTTCATACCAATAGCCAAATGGAGCATTGTGGAATGACTTGAGGATCAATTTCAGCTGCATATAATTTATACATTATATTATTATAGTTATAGTTATAATAATATACTTTCTGGTTCCTATATACTTTAGAGTTAAAGCATAGAAAAATTAGACTAATGCTATTATTTGGTGTCTCTAGCAGTGCTGCTATAGTTTTTATGCAGCAAGCCTAAAAACATAAGCCAGTGGTTGTTCACAATATTTAGAACTATCAAATGTTAGAAAGGGTTCCAGAAACTGAAAGTCTGAAATAGAAGGTTCTATGTGTCTTATATAGAACAATCTTAAAAAAGCAAGTTCGTGAGTGGAAAAGTGACTTCAGAAATGCTTGATTGAGATTCTTAATTATAGCTCCACTATGCAACTTAACATGCCCAAATTTCAACCTGTTTTAAAGAGAACTCCCATTTTAAGATGAAATTTTCCTCTTAAATTCGTAGCTACTCTCAGTGGACTACAAATTCCTGAAGCTTAAAACTTCAGAGCTGACTTTGATTTATTTTAATCTTCTGTGCCTTGTAATCAATATAACATTAATTCTTGATAATTCATATTTTGATATATATTTTAGGTGCTTACTTCTCCTCCTACTGCCACCCAACCCTTACCAAGTCATTCATTAGCATTTTTCCATTAATTCATTTTGCTGTCTCCATTCTTATCCTCTTTATGATCATTTCGTTTGGACCCTTTCTTGGGTTTAAGCTTCCTAAGACATTCTTTCATTAGGCTAATCTGCTGGAAAGTTGGAGTAACTTTTGATTTTTTCATTCCCCTCTTTCTTGACAAATCCAGTTAGTTGTTAAGCTCCATCAATTGTAATTTATACATGAACACCTTTTACCAAGTCATTAGGTTTCGATTTCACACCACACAGCACTCTCAGATCAGTCTTTTCAACTACAGTTATAATAATGTAATTTTTCAGCTAATGAACATTTAGTGTATCCCAACATCTGATGTATACAGTGCTTATGCAAAGGAGATGAGGGTCTGAACTTATCTTTTAGTGTATACCTTTCACTGCTCCCCATGTAGACTGGAAACTCTACTCAAAACTCTTATTTTTTTCCAACTTTTTCATCTCAGCACTTTTTGCTTGGCTATTTTTTTCTCCTGGAATGAGCTTCCTTCTAATCTGGGATCTACTTTATTTTTTAATGTCTAGAAAATGTCACCCTTCGTAAAGTGTCTTACTGTCATCTTTAAAACTTTTTTTCTGAAGTTCCATAAACTTTATTTTTACCATGATATTTTATCTTCTATTATAAATATTTGTGATTAAGTTTTATCTTCCTTATAAGCTCTTAGTTGTTAAGGTTTCTGTATATTTTAATCTGCCCTCTTTTCATAACGCTTATCATAACACCTTAAACATTACAGATACAAGATATGACTTTTTGAATGAATATTTCATAATGCTTCTCCACTGCCAATAAAGTTATTTCGTTATTTGTAATCTCAAGTCACCTCCTCAACTTTACCTTTTACTCTTCTAGAGAGGTCTTTGCTACAATTAATAAGGTCTACTTGTTCCCTGTGTTCTCCACTCTTAGTCTTACCTAAAGCTTTGCATGAAACATATGTAAAGCACTAGCTTTACATCCTATCTTGTCTCTAGAAGCATTTAATAAGTGGTGGTTAAGAGGAGGATTCCTGGCAGTAAGAAACCTGATAGGGTCAATCTCAAGCCTGCTGCCTGGGAACTGGCTAACAAGTAGGTAATCTCCCCAAATCTTATCATCTCCTTTGTTAAAAGGGGAAATTAATAGTATCCACATTATAAAGGAAAATCATGTAGCACAGTGGTTGGCACATAAAAATAGTAGATACATGTTAACTATTCTCCTGATTCTTCTCTTCCTCCTCATCTCCTTTTTTACTCTTAAAGAGAAAGAATTGAAAAAATATTGATTAGTACTATCTTCCAAGCACTATTTTATCACTAAGCCTACAAACATAAATAAGTTCTAGTTCCTGCCCTCATTCCCACTTTTCTTTTTTAAAAGTTTTATTTTGTTTTTATTGGCACACAATAATTGTAGATATTTATGGGGTACAGTGTGATGTTTCAATAAATGATAACATTGTATAATGATCAAATCAGGATAATTAGCATATCTATCACCTCAAATATTTATTATTTCTTTGGGGTAAGAGCATTCAAAATCCTCTCTTTCAGGAATTTTGAAGTATACAATACATTATTGTTAACTACAGTCACTCTATTTTGCAATAGAACAACAGAACTCATTCCTTCTGTCTAATTGCAACTTTGTACCCATTAACCAAACTCTTCCACTACCCCCACAACACAGCCTCTGGTAACCATTTTTCTATTCTATGATACCCACTTCTATGATATCCACTTTGAAAAATTCTTTTTCTACCTCTATGATATCCACTTTGAAAAATTCCATGTATGAATGAAATCATCACACATTGAGGCCTGTCGTGGGGTGGGGGGAGGGGGGAGGGATAGCATTAGGAGATATACCTAATGTAAATGATGAGTTAATGGGTACAGCACACCAACATGGCACATGTATACATATGTAACAAACATGTATGTTGTGCACATGTACCCTAGAACTTAAAGTATAATAAAGAAACAAACCAAATAAAACTATCAAATTTCAGATAATTATAGAAATAGTTAGAGAGAATAATAGAGTTAAATATATGTAGGAAAAAGTTTTTCTTGAATAACTTTTTGAATTAGGCAAATCCAATTATTGAGCCATCATTAAATGGCCTCAAAAAGCTTTAAGATGTTGTCTAGTCTTGTCCTAACCTCTAAAAGAAACCATTTGCAAACTTATGAAGGCTAATGTTGTCCAACAAAATGACTTGTTCATAGAAATTATAAAAAACCATTTTCCCAGTGACATTATGACATAAATAGTAAACAAAGTAAAATAGGTAGCAGAGAAAGTAGATATACCATCTATGTTCAGAAAATTAATAAATATATTTCTCTTCTGTAGACATTCTCTCACATTATAATCAGTTGTCTAGTGGCCTTACAATCACATGTCATGTACAAAGACATCTCCTATGGACCGAATGTTTGTGTTCACGGAAATTCATTAATGAAAATTCAAACACCCAAAGTGATGGTCTTAGGAGGTGGGGCCTTTGAGAGATGATCAGGTCATGAGTGTGGAGTCTTCATGAGCAAGATTAGTGCCGTTATAAAAGATGTGAAAAGAGCTCTCTTGTTTTTCCATCATGTGAGGACACAGTAAGATTGCTGTGTGTGAAGCAGGAGGCGGGTCCTCAGCAGACACCAAATCTGCCAGCACCTTGATCTTGAACTTTCCAGCCTCCAGAACTGTGAGAAATAAATTGTTATTGTTTAAGCCACCCAGGCAATTGTATATTCTCTTATAGCAGCCTGAACTGATGAAGACAGCATGTAGACAAGGTTACCCATGTTTTCCTCCTTAACAAGGATTCTAAAATTAAGCTGTGTTTCTGTGTTTTAGAAGAGACATGTGTCCAACTCACTACAATCTTTATATTTTAAAAAGTAAAGTGTGCATTAATTTGATGACTTGCATATTATATATTTATCAACAATTAAAATAGCACAAATAACAAAACAGACATAAATAGATTGGTTAATTTGGGTCAAAATAGTTTATTATTAGAAATAACATTTTGTCAGGCAATTAAAGTACTGTGAATGAGTAATAGCAATAGATCCTCATATTAAGGTCATTTTGTGTGTGTGTATAAAAATGATGCCTATACTAAATATCTGAAATCTTAACATGGAGAGAGAATTAGCTTAAGATCAGTATAACAATTTAAACTTTGCAATAGAGACCAGGAAATTTAACCACTGTTTCATTCATTTGAGAAATCTCTTCAGAATGCCTAAGGGTTGAAACAGACTAAACTGAAATGTGGTGGAGTACTCCAACCCCAGACATACCCGTCTTGAATTACACAGAGCAACTTCTGTAGACTTCACCACAAAAAAGACAGAGTGCTCTGAAATGCACTGTGAAGGACAACCTGCTTGCATTCCTGCTAGATTAAACAATATGTTTCTGCATCTGACCAGATGAATTTTTTCGATAACATCAAACCCCAAATCCAAAAACTTTCAGCAGCCAGACATTTAGTTCAAAATCTTCCCTAATTGTTGCCAACACAGCAGCTGCCAGGAGCCCAGATCTGACCAACAGAGCATTTTCCATTATCCTACAAAAAAGAGGGTGATGAAAGGAGATCCTCCCTCTCCAGGACTATCTGATTTGGCTTAGATTTGGAGGAAAGTTGGGGGAAGGGGAAAGGGAAAATAACAAAATATTTTGGCCAGTTTAGGATAATGGGAAAGTCCCTAAATAGTCCTCTGAGTTCTAAAAGCTTTCTCATCTTTGGGAGTAAGAGAGCTGCCAGAATGTATGCAATCTTATTTTTAGTCTCATTCTTTGGAAAGAATTGTATTTCCCAAACTTCACCAAGTTCACTGAAAGGTTAAAGGGTAAATATATGGCTGATGAGAGTGCTGTCCTGCTTATTAGAAGAAATGAGCTGGATGAAATGGATGACTATCTCCCACTTTTCTAAAACTAAGAGGAAACCACATATCATTGAAACCCATTGAGGCAAAAAACAGACTAAATGTAAGTCATGACTATCCAAATAATCCAGAATAGAGTTATGCCATCAGGATTGCCTTTCATAGTCTGTTCTAGTTTATTTAAAAGGAGAGACAGGGATTATGGTCATCAGAACATTCTACAGAAATGTTCGAGAGTCAAAGTCCCTAATCATGTGTTCAGCCACAGCTCACCCATGGATTAACATTGTGATCAGCACAATAAAGGTCTAGGCCTCACATAGGTACGGTAAATTCTTCTTATAAAGATGTCTTAGAAACCTGGAAATCCCTCAGCCCTGTGGAAAGGTAGTGCCAGGACACAAGTCATTGCTAATGAGCCCCAGAAGAAAAAGTAACACAGTAATGTGAATGTAAACCTTATTCAGTAGCAGTTTTTCCAGCAGCTCCCATTTGCTGAACATTATGCTAGAACCTGGGGAATCCCCATCCTTTGGGAAATTGTTCAATGCACCTTTAATGATTAAGTGCAATGTGATAAGTACCATAAGTGATACATCCACATTTTGTGGAATTGAGATAAGAAACAATTCACAATTCACAATATCTGGAAGAAATAGAGTCTTGAACTATGGATTCAAGTAAATCCCAGGAAGGGATCACTGGGTAAATCCAGTGATTTACCCAGAAAAACTAAGGGTAAATGCAGGTTGATTATTCCTCATCTGAAGTGCTTGGGAAGAAAAATGTTTCAGATTTCAGATTTTTTTTCAGATTTTGGAATATTTGCATATGCATAATGAGGTATCTTATACACATAGCCTGAAAATAATTTTATACAATATTTTTAATAATTTGGGGCATTAAACAAAGTTTTGAATGCATTTTGACTGCAGCCAGTAACAAGATCAGGTGTGGAATTTTCTGCTTATGGCATCAAGTCTGTGTTCAAAAATTTTTAGTTTTGAGGGCATTTTGGATGTTAGATTTTCAGATTAGGGATGCTCAATCTGTAGTAACCTAGAAGAGAGAATAGCATGTTCAAAGGTGTAGAAGCTTCAAAGACAGTACATTAAAGAATCCAAGAATCAAATGAAACAAACATACAAAACTCTATTTTGGTAAAAAGACTGCAAAACAGGCCACACATTTGCACACCTGTTTGTGATGTAACTTTGCAAAGGACAGATTCTATTCCTTTACTTATTAAATCTGGGCTTGGCTATGTGATTTGTTTTGTTCAATGAGGCACAAGCATTATCAAATGTGGTACAAGCAGAAGTTTCAAAAATGCTTGCACTTTTCACACAGGAATAAGCTTAGGAAAGCCTGCAGGGAGCATATGCTTAAGCCACCACCTTCACATTTGCTGATAGCCAACACCAACCACTACTCATGGGAGTGAGGCCAGCAGAGACCACCCAGTTCCCGATAGATCAGCCAGGTGACTGCACCCACACCAATGAGCCTAAGTAAAACTGGCGGCAACAAAAACAACAACAACAACAACAACAACAAATGTGATTCACAGAATAATTAGCTAAGAAATTATTATTTTCTGAAGACAATAAGTCTTGGATTTGGTTGGTTACAGTACAAAAGCTAACATGGTTGTGATGCTACAGAAGAGTGTATTAGTCAGGGTTCTTGAATGAAAATCTATATGTAACTGACTTTAGCTAGTTTAATAAGAAACGATCCTATTAAATGAAATGATATTAGACAGTTTGTAGACCCTCCAGGAGGGCCAGATGATTAGATGTGGAGTGCATGCAGCCAGAAACAAAGTCCAAATGACCAGCAGAAATCTTTTCCTGGCTACACCACTGCCTCCACCACAGGGTCCAGCCACGCAAAATTGCCTCTCTCACCTCGGTCACTGAGCACTGGATCCTCTTGATAGAACCCCTGCAACTTCTGGACACACAGTGTAACTGCTGTCCCCCTCATGATAAATCCCATATGTCACCTCCTTATTTGCAAGACTGGCTTCTAAATTAAAGTCTCCAGCTGGTTGGCATGATAACCCTCCAGTAGTGAAGCAAGGTATTGAGGGAGTGGATTTGTGACTTTAATTCTATGAAATAATGAGCTTACAAAGTAAGAAATACTCTAGGAATAGAAAGAGTGTTTATAGGTAGCAGGTGGCAAACGATAATTTGTAAATGTCCATTAAAGAGTACTTCTTTATATTTACACCCTACTTTAGTACTTAAATGTGCAAATGGCAAGAGCAAATATATTCTTCCAAATATAATTCAATTATCACTCCACTAATAAAAATTTCTTTATGCCCTCCTCAGAGGGAGATATTACAGCCTTCCATCAAAATAGCCAAATCCAGGACTTCTGAATAATCATTATTCCAAGATCATTCTATCCAAGATCATTACTAATCTAGTTTTGTCGTAAGTGTCTCTTGTTGCTGGATATTCTGTAAACTATGAGTTAAGAGATAAAGTTTCCCACCATGAAGATATCCTATATAAAAGAGAAAAAGCAAAAGGGGGAGATATGCTAGAATAGTCAAATGCATACATGACACATGAAAGAAAAAAAAACGTGTAAATACTGCAAGTAGTCACAAGGGTGCATTTAGAATTTATAACATTTCTCCTCCTTCATGTAAACATGTTTTTGTTTTGTTTGTTTGTTTGTTTTGCCCTCAGCCATCTGCTCATTTGGTTAAGGTTCTTTACCCGTTGACGTAACCCAAACGTATTCCTCAGAGATCTGAAACCAGAGGGTCTACTTTTAATGCAACAATCTTTTTTATTTTTACATGTTTGCACACCCCTTTAATGACTGGCTTATAATCTTTCACAAATTTTTATCATTGGACATGACAATCTCATGGGGTGCCTGTGTTCCAAACATACTACCCCCTCCCTGCATTTTGAATAGCAGCCACATTAATAGTGCATGAAAGAAGTCCCTTTTGTGGGACAAGTTTAGCCAAAAGTAATTAGGTAGTAAAGAACAAAGCCAATCCATCGTTTCTACCTCCAGGAATTTAAGACTTCTATCTTCAGAGCCTAGATCAAGGACCAGCGAAGTTTTTCTTAAACAGCAAAACAGTAAATATTTTAAGATGAGACCAAATCTAAGATATAATGTGGGCACTTATGAAAACCATTTAAATTGATACCACTTAAAAACATAAAAGCCAACCTTAGCTCGTGAACCATAAAACAAAACAAAACAAAACAAAAAATGGGTCACTAACAAGATCTAGCCATTACTGATTGACAATTATGAGATGCCATGATGTGATGTCATCAGGAGAATCCTCTTTACCCTTACAAGGTATTTGCACCTGGCAAAGCCATTCTAGGGAAACATTCTCATTAGACAGGGAAGAAATGACATCTTCTTGTGGAAAAACCGTGTTGGTTATTTTAGCAGAAAAGAAATCTATTAAGGGTAGTTAGTCAGCTTGTTGCTGTCACAGGAGGTCTTAGAATCTACACAGCAAACCACAAGGTACAAAGGCTGCAAATTCACTGGAGGCCCTGCTCCCCTTGAGATGGCCCTATTGCCACCACTGCACACTGATGTCCAAGCACCCAAAGTCTCCTCCCCAAAGCCAGACCACAGATGCTACTACTAGAACTTCTGCCACTGAAGCATCTGAAACTGGATGTCCCTAACCCCACTCAAACCAGATGCTCCTGCTTGTCTGTGTCTCTAGTTCCAAAATCCCGAGCTTACACAAGTAGTCAGATTGACAGAGTCTTGGGTGTATCTTTCAGTCTCAGTTATAAAAAAAGAATATTAGAAAAGTTGTTTTCTGGTTTTTACTCTGTGGAACAAATTCAAGCGGTTCAATGGTATTGGGGAGGAGCAAATAAAATAACCAAGTTACAAGATGTGAAGTGACTTGTTCATGAGCATTCAGGAAAGAAGCAGCAACATCACAATTCCAATTAAGTTCTTTGCTCCCTGAGCTCAAGCTATTCACCACCACAGGAGACAGCCAAAGTGTGTAGATAGTAATCGAACACAGGAGTGCAGATAAAGTTGCTAGGATGCTGTGTAAAACAAAGAAAACAACTGACAATGAGTCATTAGCAATCCCATATTTTAAAATGTGGGAGAAGAGACCCTATTAAAGCAGACTAAGAGGGGGAAGAGAATAGAAAAAACAGCTGGGAAAGAATGAGTGTCAAAGATCTCAAGTGAAGGAAGAAATTCAAAAAGACATTTGCAAGGGGCATTAACAATAGCTCAGAAGTCAAAGGAGAAAATAATATCTATATCTATATCTATAACTATATCTATATCTATAACTATATCTATATCTATATCTATATCTATATCTATATCTATATCTCCAACCATCTTTAGGAGTCAGCAGTTAAGGGAGTATAGACAACCTCCACCATAAAGTGAAGTCATAAGGACAGACAGATTCAGCTGGTTGGGAAAAGAATGTGAAATGAATAAGTCTAGTCAAATATTTCACACTTTCCTACTAAGGGGTAAAGTAATTATAAAGAAAAATGTTTCGAGATGGACGGAGATCCCAGGAAGTGTTGCCTAATTGTTTTTCAAATGGGAGAAACATAACCAAGTTTATATGTCAGTTTCCTTGTGAAGAAGAGGACAAAGTGACCCTCTCAGATTTCTGGGGGACAGCAATGGAGTGAGTAAAAGTCTCCAAGGAGTGACAGGAAGTTTTACAAAGATACTCCAGGGGGCATTCAGAAGGACACTAACCAGAGCTATGCTCTCACAGTTTCTAGCGCCACTGAAATCCCAGCTAAGGCTCATGTCTGTGAGTCTGAAGATGCTTTCAGGGGTCTTGCTATATACTCCAAGATAATGATAGGAAAAAAGACATGGGGCTTCACTGAGAATATGGCATAAAGATAAGGAAGCAAAGAACTTGGAAGTGGTGGTCACAGGGTCTTCTAAGTAATGAACCAGGAATCTATGCTGGGTTTACAAGAAAGTGATCTGAGATGGTTGCTACATCACAAGGGGTTTTCAAGAGCCCAGAAGTTTCTATGCAAAATTTTGTGTGTGTAAGTGAAAGTTCTTCATCAGTAGAGCCGTTGAAGAGGATTGAGTGAAAAGCATTTGGAGGACAGGTAACAATGGGGGAATAGAAAAGAGGGAAGAAAGGTAGTTCAGATTACAGCTGACATTGGAATGAAAGTAGCTTATTAGATAAACAGATGATGGAAGTATGTAGCCTCCCCAACCCCATTCCCAGTCATTCCCCTAAGCAGGGGCAAGATGCCAGGCACTAAAATTACAGATCTAAACACTTGTTCCAAAGTCAATGCCTTAAGGAAAAAGAAATAAATGTTTCTCTAACTTCCTGAAGAGTGATATTAAAATAAACATCTATCCAGGCATGTGTCTCCTATAGACAGCAGAATAGAATTCATGATGCCACATTCCAAGACCTGGATGGGAGAAAGAACAGGTTGTTATTATTATGAATCACAAAACATACTTTTGTAATTTCTAATTATGTAAAAATATTAAAATCTGAAAGGAAAACTTATTCAAAATCATTCTTTCATTCAATTAGTATTGACTGCACCTTTTCTAAATACCAGGAACTATGCTAGACATGTGGAATATAATGATAAACAGAAATTGTAGTACCATTTCTTATGGAGCTTACAGACCAGTTGGGAATGCACAGTAACCAAACTAGGACACAGATTGGATTATATGCTGTGGTTAAGTGCCAAGAGGAGAGATATACAAGGCTACAAGAGTGCAAACAAGGGAGACCTGACCATGTCTGGAGGGTCAGTAAAGTCTTTGCGGTGGAGATAATGATGAGTACAAGTGAGTAAAAATGTGGAAGGGTGTCAAGAAAAGAATGTGTAGTCCAAGTCAAAGACCTGAGGCAGAAAGAACCCTAGTTAAATCTGGGAGCTGATAGAAAAGCCACAGGGCAGTATGCAAGGTGAAAAACAATTCAAGGTAAAGCTAGTGAGAAAAAGGGAAGCCACATCAGACAGGCTCTATAACCATGAAATTGAAAAAATATTTTGCTCCAAAATAGCTAGCAAACCATAAATGATTTTGAGCAGGAAAAAGACATAATCAGTTTCTTGTTTAACAGATCACTATTTCTATTGAATGCATTAAAAAGGAAAGAGTGGGCCCGGCATGGTGACTCACGCCTGCAATCCCAACACTTTGGGAGGCCAAGGTGGGTGGATCAAGAGGTCAAGAGATAGAGACCATCTGGCCAACATGGTCTCTACTAAAAATACAAAAATTAGCTGGGCATGGTGGCACACGCCTGTAGTCTCAGCTACTCAGGAGGCTAAGGAAGGAGAATTGCTTGAACCTGGGAGGTGGAGGTTGCAGTGAGCTGAGATCGCAACACTGTACTCCAGCCTGCAGACAAAGCAAGACTCTGTCTAAAATAAAATAAAATAAAATAAATAAATAAATAAATAAAAAGAAAGAGTGGAGGTGACTTCAAGAGCAAAGATTGTTGCTTGGACCAAGGTGACAGCAGTGCAGATGGAGAGAAGTAGAATGTGTAATAAATGTAGAAGCAAATGGATTAGAAATTCTAGGTACAAGAGCAATCGCAATGGCAGTTGAGTCCTAGAGTTCTAACTTGACCAACAGATAGATATGAATGACAAGTGTGGAGATATAAAATCCTGAAGGAGAACCAACTTTTAAGGAAAAGATCACTAGTTGAGTTTTGGGCATGTTGAGTTTGAATGGCCTAAAAATTAGATGTTTTGAAAGCAGTTGATTCTAATAGTCCATAGAGGTACACATTTGGGATTCTTTTGTTGTATAAAGGGTACTCAAAGACATTCGCATGGATAATATGGTTTGAAAAAAGAAAACGGCTAGAGCAAGTTTTGAAAATACAATATTTAAAGGACAGAGGGAGGAGGAAGAAACCTTTTCAAAAGGCTATTGAGAAAGAGCATCCAGAAAGATCAGAGGAAAGCAGATTATGTGTCAATGAAGCCAAATAAAATGATGATTTCAAGAAGGAAAGGTTACTTGAGATGTTCAAATGCTACTTACAGGTCAGGTAAAATAGGGGAAAAAACAATGTCCATCTTCGTTAGTGACGTGAAGTCTTGAGAGTTTTTAATAGAGATCCTTTTCATGAGGTGGTGGAGCAGAAGACCAACTGAAGTGTATGGTGTGATAATTAAAAAATAGAAAAAAGCAGGGATTGAAAGCAGAATTTTTTTTTTAATTTCTTTTATTTTTTGAGAATCTGAGCTGGGAAGGCCAGAGGAAAAAAAAATGAAATAGTGCTTTGTCTGTCCTGAAGAAGTCTTGTCTGATACCTGTTCTTAAGCTTATACAACTAAAAAAAATAAAATTTAATAGAGCATTTAAAATTAGATGACTTCACATTAAAATCAAACTGTCCTTGAAATGTCCACTGACCTGGCAACACATATTTATATTCTGTCTGTTGTTTGCCAAAAGGGACACTGTGCCTGGAGAATTTATATGACTTGCCCAATATTATAGCTAGTCAAGGACTGGCACCTACGACTGCTGAGTTCAAGTTCTGTTTCCTTTGCAAAATTCCACTGTGCTTCTCATTCCTGCTTCTCAGGAATATAAGTCTGCCTTCCAATGGAATTCTGGAATGATCAGAGACACCCAACTCAGACTTATGCTCATATGATCCTGACCTGGAACCAATTTATGCCCTTAGATGTGCAGGGTGAAATCAAAGCCCTCCAGTCTGGGGTTCTCCATCTCTGCTTCAGCAACTTCTAGGACTGAAAGAATGTTCCCTCTTCGTATGTTCAAAGGAGAACTGCAGGAATCCTTGGAGAAATTTCTCTCAGAATCAATTACTGTAGATGAGCACAAGCACTGTTAGTCATGACTCACGAAATGATGAAAGTAAGAAACAGTCAAGAATCCAATAAGAAATAAAATAATTGGCTAGGTTCATGATTTATACTCACTGTCCTCCAAATGTCTGGTCTCTGGAATGGAAATATCTTTCCTTAATTCTGTTATGGTTCTCTGCTCAGGGGAGCTACTGTTCCGGAGATCAATAAAACTCAACATGAAAATTATTCTCTTTGCCACTGTTGGGAAAACTCTTATTTACTCTATTGTTTTTTGGGCATATGTATCAGATTGTTTTATTCAATTAAACAATATTTTGCTTTCATATATATGTGATTCTTACTGGCTACAAGGTAATTGTATAATTAATGTAATTGGCTTGAAAATAAAATGTTGCTTTTTATGAGCATCACGACTTTTTTTTAACCATATCTTTTTCTATGTTGTGAGCTCTGAACACAAAAGGAAGAATTTTTAAATGTCCCCTTTCTTCAGGTTTAGTCTGGTGCTTCTTTATTTTCCTCCTTTTTCCCCTGTTTTCACCTAGCTCTTTGTCACAAGTCTGGAAAATACAGAAAAAAATTACCTTTCTTTCTATTTGCAGACTCTTAAAAAGCTATGTTGGCAATGGTGAATATTTATTTTAAATGCTGTCAGTTTGAAATTTGTTGTCACCTTAATAAAAACTTAAAACAAATGACATAAGTAAACAGAATTTAACCAAAAAAATAAATGAGTCAATGAACATGAATAGAAATTTCTTATTTTATCTGGCAAGCGAGTGAAGATATATATCAGTTTTATATCCTTCTTGAAAGTTATCTAAGTGTTCATCACACACAAAACAATGTTTCCTCCCAAAAGAAAAACTACATTTAAGGAATTTAGCTTAAATAGGTAAAACTAATAAACTATTGAAACTTCTAAATTAGATTTATATTTTTTATGTCTCTTTTAAGGCAGTGAAGGTAAAAATGATTTTATTTCACTTTACACAGTATTAAATTTCCTCTAAAAACTTCCACATAGTTTATACCAATATAAATAAAAAGTGTTTCTTCCAGGAACTTAAAGGAATTACATTTGAACACAATTAAGAAAATAAATGTAAACCTTAATAACCTTACTCATGTCAAATTGTGCTCCAATACACCTAAGTGTCAAATAGTAGTACACACCTCTTTGCTTATTTGTGAACTTGAACTTGATGCAGAGATTACAATGGTTCCTGTGGCGGTGTGGCTACCTCAAGAGGCCAGCTCTGAGATGGGTGTAGTATGCTAAAGATTTATGAGAAATCTTAGAATCAGCACCAGTGAAGGAAAGGGAAGGGAAGGAAGGAGAAATGGACAAAAAAAAATGATGGCTGTGATACAGTCTCAACATTGGCCTCGGCCATCCCTATGCAGAGCTCTAAGGCTGAGATGAACCTCCAGATTCTCCTAGCTGGAGAAAGAGGCCTAAGTGTTTATATCCCATGTCTACCAGTCACTGGGCATAGATCACCCTGGGAAGGGCCCATGATCTTGGGCCCTTCCAACAGAAGGAGTTATTTAAATACATCTACATCTCCTAGCCCAATTTATATACTTACATTTGAGATTTGTCTTTTATCACAGTTATATCACCAAAAATTATAGAAAGAGGAACATAACAAGTATGTTTTTTGGTAATATTAAGAAAAAAAAGTATTCAAGTCAGAAAAGTATCTTATTCTGCCCCCTAACTCCCCATCCTCCCACCCCCACTGATCCATCAAATCCCCCCTAAAAGCTGGCTCTTCCTTCAACCATGGATGAAAACATGGATAATCTTCATAACTATTCTCTCTCCCTCACAAAACTAAAATGTCCTCTGATCACTTATGGCCACTGTTACAGATCGATTTTTTTTGCTGATCAATGTATTAAGATCCAAGCATTTTTTTAAAGAACGCATAATTTAGTTTAGGGTTGAACTTCTTCTTTTCCAGGATTTTATCTCCTTCAGATTATCAGCCTGCTTGGTGGGCTTTATTTTTTCACTCGACTGGCTTCTCTCCCACTACCCAATCCCAGGCTGTTTGTGGCTTCTTGTCCCCTGTTATTGATAGAGGGAGTGAGAGGCGGATGCAATGGGGAGCAGTTTAGTTAATAAGGAGGAATGTATCTGTTCCATCAATTCCCAAATTCTGACCAGCCTTTGTGAAGCCATTCCCACAAGGCTTCAGGTGAAAAGGACATTCTTCCTTTTTTATAGGAATTTATAGCACACCAAAGATTCATATTCTTCAAAGAAAGACTTAATTCTTGATATCCTTGGCCCTTTCAACTCCAACTGTTGTACTCTAGAAATCAATGAAAGGTCAAAGTTTCCAAATCTGTTTTCTTCACCTCTTTTTCAAGTCTTGCACTGATGATGAGGCCTATCCTGCTGGAATGTGGTCATATTTGCCATGATGATTTTGTTGGTGATCTTTAGGACTCGTTTAACAATGAGGCCACAAAATTCCCGTTTCAACAAATTCTCTCTAACATTATTCAAAAGGTAGATGCAGAAGCCATGCATATTAATCACCCAGGCTCTTGTGTGACACAAATTAAATATATTTTAATGCTTGTGCAAGACACTTAGAGAGACCCTCACTGAACTCCCTTACAGGCCAAGCTTAGCTAGTAGCTTTACTAATGCAGTAAAACTTCTATTTATCCACTTAGGTCATTGAGCTAATTTACAGGACCTGATTGTCAAATCAGACTCTCAGGAATCAGAGCTTTTACCTATCAAACTTTACTAAATAATTTCAAGGATGTAGTCAAGGAAAAGGCTCAGAAAACGCAAAGACCTATCTGGATCATCAATGGCAGCTCCCAGATTCTGGTTCAGATTAATAAATTCAGAACTTTTAAAATATTAAACAATTTGAGGGAATGGCACAGCTTTCATGACATGACCTTCCCATCCCCTAGAAGCCATACCTGATAAATCCCAGGTTCTATTTTCCTAGGCAATCCCTAGCTTGGGGCATCCTAGTAAAAGCAGTTAAGAGTTAATGTGTTTCTTACTAGCAAATAACGTTAGTTTTTTACTCAGCAGTTAAGTTGACAGGGAGATTTTAAGGAGTCACCTATCTTCTTTTCTTTCCTCCAGTACTGTTTCTACCATCCACCATTCTACCATAAAGGGAGTGAAAAGATCTCAGGCCATCGACTTTAACACCTTCCTCTCAGCTGCTTAATGCTAGAATTCACTACTGGGGGGAAAGAAAGTGTTAGTTTACCTGTAGGGTATAATTTACAAACTAGTTTAATGCAACAAAAATAAAAAATCAGGGGGATTAGGTGAAAGTAAATGACTCATAACATTATTAGAAGTCTCCATTTTAAAATTAAAACTAGGTTCTCAAGTAAAATAATGAAAAAAAGTTATATATTGGCTCATATTCCTTAAAGGTCTCAGATAATCTTCCAAGGCTCATTTTTCTGCCCTCTTTCTCTGAGTTGGCTCAATTATTTGAGTCCATGTAGCAGTCCCCATAAGCTGCAGGTTTACAGCCAGACCAGAAGACTGAATCTAGCAGAAAGAAAGAACCTACTAGCTCAAACTAAAGGCCTAGAACTGTATTTAGTTGACTGCAATGGTTGACTTGGGTCATGAGCTCATTCCTGAACTAGTAACTGTGGCCAGTGGGACTGGCTATCCTGATCATTCCTAGGAGTTCCTGAAGTGTAGGGAGGGTGCAGCACATGGAAAGAACATGGTGAGGAAACATTCATTCTAGGCAGATGAGATACTGTTGCCATAGAAAGATGGAGGAGAGGTTGCAATCTGAAAACAACAAATGTCTACCACATCCTCAGACAAGAATTGGAGGAAAGGTCAAAGTAGATCAAAGTTAAACAAGTTTTAAAATTACACTATGGGTTTACTGTATACCACAGAGTTTAAAATATATTGAATTGAGGAGAGATTAAAAAACTGTTGATGAGTCAAATAAATGTAAAAAAATTATCTTTGACAGTTTGGCAGAAAGGTAAAGGTAATAGAAAGAGGCAACTAGGAAACCCACAGTTTTCTGAGACCCTGCCCTGAACTTCCTCTAACATCTGCGCTTTAAAATTTCTACTTCACACTGGGTGCAGAGTCTCACGCCTGTAATCCAGCACTTTGGAAGGTCAAGGTGGGAGGATTGCATGAGCCCAAGTTAGAGACCAGCCTGGGCAACATGGTGAGACTTTGTCTCTCCAAGAAGTAAACAAAATTATCCTGGCATGGTAGTACATGCCTGTAGTCCCAGCTGCTCAGGAGGCTGAAGTGGAAGGATGGCTTGAGCATTGGAGATCAAGGCTGCAGTGAGCTGAGATTGCGCCACTGTATTCCAGCCTGGGCAATAGAGCTGGACCCTGTTTCAAAAAAATATATAGAATTTCTACTTCTACTTTTTTTTCCATCTCTTCATGCTCCTTTATCTACTACTCATTATGTTTTGAAGGCACTATCCACAGCCTAGAAATACCAGCAGACTTTCCAAGAGGACTTTTTAAATAATTATGTAAATATATTGTATTTACATATCATGCTGTTTTCATGCTGCCTATAAAGACATACTGGAGACTGGGCAATTTACAAAAGAAAGGCTTAACAGATTTACAATTCCATATGTCTGGGGAGGCCTCACAATCATGGCAGAAGGCAAGGAGGAGCAAGTCACATCTTACATGGATGGCAGGAGACAAAGAGAGACCTTGTGCAGGGGAACGCCCATTTTTAAAACCATCAGATCTCTTGAGACTCATTTATTGTCACAAGAACAGCATGGGAAAGTCCTACCCCCATGATTCAATTATCTCAGGCTGGGTACCTCCCACAACATGTGGGAATTGTGGGAATCGAAATCAAGATGAGATTTAGTTGGGGACACAGCCAAACCATATCATATGTATTACATCATTAACCTTATCTTAAATCTATGTACCCTCTGTCTCACCTATCTCTGAATATTTTTAATGAGAATAAGAATAACAATAATATTCCTCCTTTCATTTTCTTTCTTTGTTTACTTCAATGCAATCATGGATGCATTTCTTGGAAATGTTAGTCATGTTATTTTAAGTGAATTTTCCAGCACAAGTTTAAAGATAGACATTTGAAAGATAAAAATCTGTTGCTAAAGGATAAAACTTTGCTTAAAGTAAATTCTGTGAAAATATTTAATGAAAAAGTCAGATAGTTTATTTTCTAAAATATTTGTTTTCTGCTGTGCAATCTTTAAAGAGGTTACCAAAAAAGAAACAAAACAAAACAAAAAAACACCAAAAACCCGAAACTGAAAAATGTACCAGAGAAGAAAGGGAGCTGGCATACTTCAGTATTAGCAAACTTAATTTAGAATGGTCATATGTCAGACATAGAAAGTACATGGCCCGGTAGAAGGTATCAGCTGAGAAGGCCCACTAGTTGGCATTTGCTTTGTCAAATGACTGCCAGCCAGGATCTGACCTTCAGGGTGCTAACAAAATTGGAAAGCAGCTAATAGACTCAGAAAACCAAGCTCATAAAATAGTGATCAATATGACTCATGACTACTGTCCCCAAAGGCAGTCTCTGCTCTAACCCCATGCCAAATTTAGAGCTAGACTCAGCACTTCTTTGCTTTCTCATTGAAGCTCTACTTGCACGAAATCCTGTATTATTGAAGTTGATGCTATTGGATATGTTAGAGAAGAGATGGAGAAAGAGGTTTTACTTTGCGCACCTACAATAATTTGAGCAAAGCATCTTGAAAACATGTAATTTCCATAAAATTTCTCTTCATCATGACTGCTCAAGGAGGCTCCTCTTCTCTTTGACTCCTCCCCTCTGGCCTTCTGTGGCATAAAGCCCAAAATTAAGGCTCAGATATGTGCCATCTTGACATCTATTGAAAGGCCTTCCAAGGGCCTAAATACACGTTCCCCTCCCAACTCTATGGATAAGGTCCACTAGCCAAAAAACCCTCCCTATCAAAAGGACCAGGTGCACTCCCTACTTATCCCTCAGTAGCAGGTTTCAGTTCCCTGCCAGCGAAATTATTCAAACAAGCTAGTCACATCCTCCTGGAACCAGTGGGTACTCCAACCTCTGGATACTACAATACCACAATGCCTGTCTCCCACAACTTCTGGTTGTCCAAGTGCAACCCTCATGTGACCCTGCACATCATGCTATACCCTTCTCCCTGGGCTGTGAGTATATACGACTCGTAAATTGCCACCAGTTTCATCTGCCCACTAACAGATGTTGTTTGTTGGGCTATCCCCATAACTCTAAGATGGGAATGTAAAAGGTGATTAAAGTACCATCCCATCAGTCCATCTGCCTCAAGTATTCTGACTTCCAGCATTTCTAAGCAAATTAGCAGTCTCCTTTCTCCGACTTCCAAATCTTCATTCCATCAGTGTACCATTTCAGGAGTGAGAAAAGCCTCTACGGTGGAGAATATTCTGGGAGAATAACAACAAAAGATTCCTGCAGCCACCAGAATCCACCCTGCCTTAAATTCCAATGAAGATGTTAAACAACTTTTTACGGTTACTGTACTATGTGTCTATAAAGCTAAAGTTCAATTTACAGTGTGAAATGTGACTTCCAGAAGACTAAGCCATTCATATTCTTTACCAGTACTTTTCCATCTCTATGCAGATCTAAAGTATATTCAGAGTTTTTGGTAAAAGTAGAATCAGAAAAATTGAGATTACTTGTATGAGTTCAATATTCACTAGAAAGAGATATAAAATTCCTAACAGCATTGTCTCATTTAGTCTTTACAAAAACAAACTATCATTTATGTAGAGTTGTTATCTCCATAGCACAAATGTTACCTCCACAGCACAGATCCATAGCATGCTGAGAAAGTGTTGGGTAATTTTCAGGATCACACAGTGATGAGTGTTCATTCGGCTTTCCTGCCTCTTTACTAATATGTGACAAAAACTGGGTAAAGCCCTGAGGGTACCATAACACTTGTTTATTACAAATTCTCCTCTGATTCTGTCTTCCCCAGTATATGGTAACCTTCTGAGGGTACACCTTACTGCCACACTCAGCATGCGCCACATAGTAGATGTCTGTATATAATCCATAGAATGCATGGATGACTACATGAATGAATATTCAAAAACATCCATTCATCTCTAGAACCATACAGAAAATATGGGTGAATTCAATTTATCAGATTTATATGTCAGTGTGTTCCCTCAGGGTGTATCCCTAATTCACAGTTACAACTATTTTCTCTTATACTGTTTTCCTTTTAAGTTCTAGACATGACCAACAGGATCTCAAGATCTCCCCTGTGGGACTGAACCAGATTTACCTTTTGCAGGTCTCAATTTGATAACACACCTTTGTTTGACCTCTTTCCCTTACTTCTTGCTTCTCTACTCAAAACTTTACATTTCTCGGGGAACTTTTCCTAATAGGTAAAGTGCATGGAGCCTCATCTCAGGGTCTACTTTTAAGAAACTCACCCCAAGACACCACCTCTCTTCAACAGAACACAATTTCTCTTTAAACATTCTAAAACTAACCATTCTTGATTAGCTTTAAGCATGCTATTTTGGCCAGGCTTGTCTTGATTCCAGCAACAGAAATATTTCATGTTTATGTTACCTTTTGCACGTGTCTAATTTTATCAGTTGTGTGTTGACTTTATAATTGAACTTGGTGTTTTGGCTTTTTTCTCCTTGAATCTGCTCTACTGTCTGGAGTGAACTGTCATTTTATCCATGGAAAAATGTATGAACTCTCCTTAGCCTTTTATCAACTGTTTTATTATGCCTTTTATTATTTACAACAACCTGCACTTCAGCAAGACAATGATTATTCTCCTCATTTCAAAAAAGAGACAATCTTGGGCCCAGAGGGAGGCCACCCAGGCATGTCATTTGGATGAACTGGAGCTGAGTCCAGGAACTCAGGTCTCCTGATTCCTAGAATAGTGCTCTTTCCCACATCTATCAATCACTTCTTGAGAATAAGTCTTCACATACTCATAATCACTAAGGTTGTTTTCACGTGTTCTTAAAATCTCTTAACTCTGCCACGTTTACAATCATATACCAAGCAAAACAGCAGATCTTACATGAAACATTAGAGAAGCCTGGGATATTTAATTCTATGCATATGTGGCAAATCATTACATATGCATAGTAAATCTCTTAACTGTCATTTGTAATAGGGATGAAGTCATGAGTAACTTGCCCCACAATGGTTCATCAGTCTGCAAAACAAAATCCAAAACATCTCACAGTGTGCATATGAAGGTGTCTGCAAGCGAAATTGTCTTTTTGGTCTGAAAAACAAGATTTGTATCTTCCAAAAAATGTCTTCTGTTGGACTGCTTACCTTCTTCAATAAATCAGGTTATCATAACCTCACACTTCAGCGTTCTTCTATTTCTGGATTTTTCTCAGAAATTGCCCAGGGCAGGGAAATAAGAAAAATAATCTATATGTTCTTGGCTATAAAATACTGTTATCTTGGCTCTATACTAATCTGGCATGTTTATTCCTTTTTCACATTCTTTATATAAAGATGTGTCTTCATAATCCTAATTTAAAATAATGAATTTGGTAAAGCAATTATAAGTCACCTTATATTAATAGAAAATAACCCAAGGTCATGTAGAAATATATATTGACACTCCTCAGTATTTTAGAACATTTTATCTCAATTACCCATTGGAGATTTTAATTCAGTTGTGCATATTCAAAAATGTAGTTTTTTGATAATTTCCTTTTTGCCTGCAAAGGAGCAGGGAGAATTTGTTTAGAAGTCATATTGCCTAGTCTGTCTGCACAGAAAGCTTTTCTTTACCAACAGGAAAAGTGTTGATATTGAATTAATACCACCATCGTAACAAGAAAAAAGTTAACATCTGCTCTACTGTAAAAGAGAAGACAGTAAAGCTATTCATTTTTTCTTGTTCTAATAACACTCTTTTGAATAAATTTAGTCCTCACTAAGACTTTACAATAACATTATAGTAATGTGAGGCCCATTAAAAATGCTAGAACTTAACAAATGATTTTATTTATTTATTTATCTATTCATTTTTGAGATAGGAAAGACCGTGAAAACAGGGAGACAGGTAAAGAAATCAATAGCTTGATTCTCTACATTTAGATGACCGAGGAAATGTCTCACGGCAGTTGGATGAAGAAGCCTGGAGTTTAAGGGAAAGTCTGGGCCAGTGATATACATTTGTGTCATCAGTGTATAGGTAGTCTTTTAAGGTAGAGAACTGGATAAGATCACTGAAGAGTGAGGATAGACAACAGAAACAAAAGGTAACTTTCAGTAGCATGGCCTTTATTAATCTGCATATTCCCAAGAGCTCCACAAATATGATATAGATTCAAATGATCCATTCTTTTAGAATTAGCATAAAGCGAATCAAACATGGCATCATCCTGTCATAAAAGTTCTCTTCTCCCTACATGTGACTAAAATGCAGGTTACAAAAATTCTAAGTGTTGAGGACTTCTATTCGTGGAAACTTTCTTCACAAATTAATGATTGTGATGATGTCAGACAAGCAAAGAATGGTAAATGGTGAAAAAATTATACAATGCCAAACCATATGATTACCTACAATAATCCTTCCTTTACTGATAGCTGCCCCCAAAACATCTCTGTATCTTTGTAACTCTTCCACATAACCAATAATTTCCTTTCACTTAAAATATGTTCTTTATTTCTAATCACATTGGACAAACCCACTTACAAGCTCTACCGGACTGTGTATGTGTGTTTATACATTTCCATTTAAATATGAACTCCTTAAACTTTCTGTTTACTTTGATCAAAAGCATTGTTTTTGTAGAAACAAAATGGTGACAACACACACATAGTACATAGATGTAGATGACCTGATATTCCAGGATAGATGTTTAGAAGTGGTAATATTAGTCTATCCTAGAGACAGAGATCCAAATCTAGAGATAGAGATAGAGAGAGAAAAACATAGATCTAGACAGACTTTACAAATGATATTAAAGCAATATTAGGCCTATCATATAACGTTAAAATTTGACCTATTAATATACTGTTTTATGTATTTCATATATTGTATTACATATATGATGTACTATATATTATAGTTTTATATGTGCATTTTAAGTTCAGATTGTGATATATTTTAAGTAGGAACCATACATGAAACTGTTCATTTAACGAGACTTTTTTCTGGCACTGATTTGTTACGCCAGCAAGATTTCAGCATTCTTAAATATTTAGATAATTAGATGAGGACTTCTTTTTTCTTTGTAACCTCATGCTGAGCCTCATGGGAGTACTAGGAAAAAAAAAAACTACAGAGTATGTGGATAACAAATCAGTTTCAAAACCAATAAACCCAAATTTATATACTTTATGCAGTGATCATTTATATTCCATTCATCCTTTGGATACTTGAAACGATCCCCCAACAACAGCTGTTACGATAGATGACAGTGTACCACTTGACCTCAATATGGCAGATGTGTGTGCTTACTGCAGCTGTCAAACTATAATAGAAAGAGCAGCAGAATTCTACCAAAGCTATGTCTACGAGAAACCAAAAGTATTTTTGCGTTGTACACAGATTAGAAAAAGAAATCCTAAATTCAAGGTACATAAATGAAATAAATTGGTCGTTTTACAATGTGTGGACTAAACCAATGAATAGTTCATTGTTGTGTTCCAAATAATTGATTTCCCATCATAAAAAAAGATGAATATCTCCTCCCCATTTCTGCCAACTGGCTTTACATGATACTAGGCTCTAGGTTCAAAGGAATGAGAGATCAACTGCTTCTGTAAAAGCCATCACCTCTGATCTGCATCTAAGTTATCCTAAACCTTGCACACAAACACACACCTGCAAACACTCATGCAGCAACACTGTAAATAGAAGACAATAAGACACATTTACATTTAAATGTAATTACTCTGAAAAAAAAACTGATGACAAATGATAAGACAATCACTTGGCAATAATGATTGTTGTTGCCTATTCAGGATTGCTCCCGTTGATCATTTAGATTTCTTTTGGTCCCTTTATAGGTGTTTATGTTCAAAAGAACAAAATAGAATACAGCTTGTCTGAGCTGCACTTCTTTGGTGATACTTTCCAGCATAACTAATGTTGTTTTCTATGTCCTGAAGCCCAAGCTCACCTTTCTTTTCCTAATATGGTCAAGTAACTGGCTGAAAAATCTAGGAAAGCAGTTGGTGAGGATATTTGAAGACTTTTCTGTTTCACCCATGGAAAGCCGACCACAGTCAGGAAATGCATCATACCCTAGGCAGAAGAAGGCACAACATGTGAAACACTCAAGTAAAAATACATCTTAAATTATGTTAATAAAAGAAATTACACTATAATTGCCAAAGTCTTCCCAAGCCCAAAACATGCTAATAAATATATAAAAATAAAAAAACATTTTATTGCCTCTGAAGGAAATATAAGTATTAACACTTCATGTCTATTCATTATAATTGGTAAATGTTTATTGAAAATAGAAAGTTTTTTTTAACTTATTTTAGTCTGTACAAATACAAAGACATGAAAAACTTTAGAAGTGACTCTGGTCATTCCAGACATTTTTCACTGATAAAAATCAAAAGGGACAACTTCTAAGTTTTTAAAACTTGGCGGAGAGTCTACAACTACCAATTGTTGGCAGATTTTCATTCCCTCCCCCATCTTGTGAGTCTGGTTTTTGTGTAGTAAACCCTTTGAAGTCCATGGGTGTTCTCCACACAGAAGAAATTGTGTCTGGTGAATCAGGTCTTTACTTTTTTGCTTTCTCCCAATATTTTGTAACTGTTTAGTGCTTAACTAACATATATTCCTGCTGCATCTTCTGCTTTTCTTCATCGTAGTATAAAAAATTATGTTTAAATTATACAATTCAGAGAAAATATTAACCTGCATGCTTTCCAGAAACAAAAATAACTGTTCAACTGAAACTTAAAACATACATTATGCAAATTAACAAGCACTATAGAGAACTAGAAATGAAATTGTAAAATGTGCATATAAAGTTTAATGATGCAGACAAATATTCCAATTAATTTATAAATTACTTTACTTCTCTCTCTGTGTGTGTTTCTTTCTGCCTCTTCTCTTACTCTTGCCTTTTTTTCTCTCTCTGTCTCTCTCTCACTCTCTGTCTCTCTCTCCTAGTTACAAGATTTTAAAAAGTTAAATCATTTGGCCTCAAATTTTCCACATTAATGTCTAGTCTAAAATGGAATTTCTTTTGAAGGCTTAAGCAAGATCTGTCTAGCTATTTGTGTGTTATATGAAAATAGAAGAAATATGCTTCTCCAGTTATAAAAAAAAATACGGTTAAGATTTTTCTTTTTGCTCATATAAATCAAACAGAGCCAAAGCTATAAACTTTCAACTTGGAAAGATTAGAAACCCATTGAGGAAAGAAAATGTAGCTAAACTCAGTGAAAATCTTCTAAGTGCTTTTATTCATTAATTTATAGAAATCAAAGGAAAGTGGTTTGAGCACACCTAGCAATACATGTCTATCTACCTGTACAAAAGGTCACACAATTTATGCCTTAGGGTGGTGACAGTGCATACCTGCATGTGGTCTACTCCCTCTTAATACTGAAGGTAAACATTAGGAAATTACAACTCAATAAATTACTAAATAAATATTTCATGAACAATTTAAGTATGTGCTGTATTTATGTGTAAAATTTTTTTAAAAATACACTAAGATTATACTTGAATTACAGGTCAAGTTATTTCCTAATTTATACATATTATTAATACATATATTCTATGTTCGGCTCTCACTACAGATTAATTCAGGCTTACCCCACTCTATTTCATCCTTACTCTCCCTTTCCAAACACTTAAGCAGCCTTTTCCTCCACTCCCAAACTGTGATTTCAAGAAACTCTATGTGTTGCAGTTTGTAAGCATCTTCTCTATTTTTACTCTTGGTGTAAAGAGATACTAGTTTTCTTCTTACTTTCAAATGGTAACATCACCATCTGCAACAGTGTTCTACCTGAAACGTAAGGAAAACTGTCAGCACTTTCTTTAGTCTCCAGCGACTGTTTTTAGCACTGTGACGCTAGCTTGAATTCTCCGAGGACATCCTTTTGAATCCTTTAGATTATAGGTCAGTTCTTTATATTCCTTTACATATTTGGAATGGGGTTTAATTGTTTTTCTTTTCCCTACACTACGTTTCCCTAACAGCTTGAGGAATATCATCATTTGTATGAATGACCATCTCAATGCTGTGGTTTTTCTGCTTCCAATACTTCCATGAAATTTTACTTCCATGATTTCGCCATTGCCTTTCTCCACCTCTGGGTCCACATTACACTACCCAGGCCAGGGTCTCTCCATTTTCAACTTGCCTTGGTGGTACTGCCTCAAAATTAACTCCCTGTTTTGGGATTCCTTTTCCTTTCCACAATCCATTCTCCACCCTGATTTCCAAACACATTAGCCATCTGAAAACATTTTTACTTGTAGTGTTTTAGTTTGTGACTTTGATCTTCCCACACAGTTCCATTTTATCTCTAAATATTAGTCAGTGAACTCCAAATTTTTTCTACTGACTTACTGCTGTGAAAGGTAACAGACACTTTTCTCCCACAGCCAGCTACATTTTGTTGCTAATATCATGATATTACGATTTTTCTCTTGGCTATTTTTAAACTTTATATGCAACACTTAAGTCTCTATATTAAGCAGCTTTAGAAGGTGTTTCTTAAACCTTTGTTATGGAAGAAGAGAAATGTGAAATCATTACTTCTAAAGAGTGGAACAAATTTATATGACATTTGCTTTTCATTCTGTACCTCTCTGTACTGTCTGAGTTACCTGTACTTGAATTGCTTGAAAGAAAAATAAACAAAACAGAGATCTGATTATGACATTCACATTCAATGATGGCCCATTTTCTCAAATATTAGTTTTTCATACTCCCATAATCTTGCAGTTTATATAAACCACCTCCACCCTGGTGCTCAGCACCAAATTGATTTTCCTGCTTTACAATACTATTCCCTGCTAGTCTTAGAGCTCATCCCAAGCCCTGGCTGACTTATCCAGAACTATGCCCTCAGTACTGTGGACAGGCATTATTCACCAAATAAATGAATTTCACAGCTGCAAACTCGACCTAATAGTCTACAAATCCGATAAAATCTGATAAGGCATCCCATATGCAATTCTTGATCTCTTATCATGGCAAATCTGTCAGATGAAAGATCAGGTTCTCCCACATCCTTGAGTTAAGGCACATTAAGCAAAAATTCAACCCCCTCTCTAAAGCCAAATGACAGGTGACTTACCCCACCCTTGTTCCTCCAGCCACATTCTCTTTTACTGATACCTCCCCACCAGCAGCCGCTACAGCAGCAGCCATGCTAGTAAGGCCCCAGCAGGCTTCAGTGATACAATTACACAAATTAGGACTTAATGTTCAATTTTTTGTGTCTTCCAACTCTTCTTGGCTAGACTGTAAGAAACTCCAAGTCAAAGTAAATTTTCTGCTTCATGTAGACATGATCTAAGCTTCAGTAAGAAAATCAATAAACATTTTTACAAGAAATAATACGATGGAACTCCAAAGTTTTCAACATTCTTCTAGCAACACTCTCAAGCTTCAGAAGCAAATTTATGCATTTCTTTTTCCCCTACATCAGCCATTTCAGCAGAGTTCTCATTTGGGGGAATGTATTTTATTTTATGTTTTATTCCCATGTTGAAGTAAAAAGAACATTTTCTTTCACCACGTGTATTTTTCTAAAGTGAACTTTTCATTTCATATTGTGGATGGCAGCAGCCAGCCCATGTTCCATGATCCTCAGGCACGGCTTTGTATACTGGTCCCCAAACCAGATGAGATGCACTCATCACTCAGCCACCAGGGCTATCAGTCAGAAGAAAACTTGTCGGATTGCTTAAAAAAAAACAGCCAAGGAAAGAACCTCACAGCCAAGGCAAGAACGTCACAGCCAAGGAAAGAGAGGACAAAAATTTAAAGCATTTCAAAAATGCCTTGCTGAATATTTAATGCAAAATGAAAAGAAAGGGCAGTCTCTAAAATTGGACAGAAAAAATGCAGATTAAGAAAAACCATATTTTCTTTTTTAGCATCCGAATAGATTTGTCCCCAAGTTTTTTTAATCAAATGAAAACATCAAATAATTCCAGAAAGCTTATCAAATCTACAACTTCAGAACAGTAAGGCAAACATTCTTGACAGACAAAATATTTTATTGTACAGCTATAATCTAGTCATTTTATATTCCTGAGGTACCTTCCACTTTCCACCACAAAGTCTAAAATATAATAAATGAATCTTATTTTTAATCATCACAGTAGGATTATAGAGGGGAAAAAATTTTCTAGTTCCAGTTTCCTCTGCTTTCTGTACTCCATCCACATTGCATGTCTTGTATGCATTCCAACTTGCTGCATTTTCCGGCTCAAAGCCAATGAATTTGCTGTTCCCTCTGCTGGAAGCCTGCCCCAACCAGCCCTCCACCTCACTTGTCACAAGCCTCTTTATCAAACACATCTCATATGTTCATTCATTCCCTCAGCAACCACTTACAAAGAACCTGCTATGTACCCAACACTATTCTAGACACAGGTGTTACATCAGCGAGCTCATTGGGCTCACATTCTAGGAAGGGAAGAGAGGCAACGAATAAATAAACAAATAGTATGAAGTATGTCAGATGGAATAAGTACCATGGGCAGCACTAATTCAAGGTGAGGGGAAATGGGATACTGAGATGGCAGAGATGGTTTTTTTTTTTACTGTGTAGTTGCTGTGTAGTTTTTGAAAGTGGCATTAGAGAAAGAATCTGAAGGAAATTATAGGGTGAGTCATACTCATATCTGGGGGAAAAGCATTCTAGGCTGAGAGAACAGCAATCACAAAGATTCTGAGGAAGGAGCATGCTTGATGTGTTTGAGGATTAGCAGGACGCTAGCATGGCTAGGGCCAATAAGCAAGGGAGAAAGGGTCAGGGGCTACTGATAAGTAACAGGATCAGATGGTCTATGGGGGGGCTCCCACTCTACCCTGAGCAAAATAGGAGTCATCAGAGGGTTTTGAGCTAAGAAGTGCATAGACTAACACTAGGTTTCACCAGGATCACTGGAGTGCCCGTGTTGAGAATGGATTGTAAGAGGGGAGGGGAGAAGCAGAGAGAGCAGTTACGAGTCTGTGCAGTAGACTATGTAAAAGACAATGGTCTCTTGGAGCAATGTGATGGTAGTGATGGTGATAAGACAGTGCAGGATTCTGCAGATTTCTGTCAAAAAGTAGGACTGATAGCATTGACTGAGGCATTGGCTGTGTTAACTTCAATATGACATACTCAAGGAAACCCAATTTCAGACCAGGTTAAGGCTTCCTGCTATATACACCCAAAGGACCTGACATCTATTCTCATAACACGTTGCATCCTTACAGTCTTTTTGACAGTTTTATCTTCTCCTGTAACTCCAGCTCCCAAAGCAATATTTTTCATGTTAGATGTCTAATAAACATTCTGTGAAATGATGCCTTGAATGCCAAATTAGAGGGTTTGTGCATTTCTTTATCTCAACTTGTAATGCCCTCTGTAATTTACTGACTTGATAAACCCCTATTCATCTGCCAATTATCACCTTCTCCTGAAGCCTTCCATTGCCCCTTTTCCCAAGACAAAGTGAATCCCTAACCCCCTGGTTTTTGAGCCTTGTAGTACTGCATCTATTGCCATGTATTGCAATTTACTTCTGTGGTATGGTTAAAAAAATCAACAGATGTGCTCTTAGCAAACAATTCTATCTAATGGTCAATGGTTTATGTTGCTGCAATGCAATAAACTGTCCTCAGCACTCTTAGGCCTCTACGGCATATGCTATATGCACAAGTACCAGTATATGTGACTTTAAAGAATGATAACAGTGTATTGAATATTTACGTTATACCACACTTTATGGAAGGTATTTGTCTAAATGATCACATTTGCTTTCACAAAACACTGTATGAATAAGAAAAATTTTTAGCCCATTTTACAAGGGAGTAAACTGAGGATAGACTGCTTGCCCAGCTTATACAGGTACTGTCAGAGTGAGAATTCAATCCTAAGCACAAAGACTGTCATCAAACAACCTCTATGCCCTGCTGCCTCTCTCAGAAGAAGCGGGTTGAGTTCTATGTCTAGGCCTAGTACAGATGAAAGATAATAGACACAGAAAATTATATTTAAGTTAAATCAAGTGTTCAGTGGGAATAGAAACACCCAACGCCTAAGCCAAAACTGACAATGTTGACATATAACTTCCAGGAATTTTCAAAAATATGCAAGGCAAGATATTTTTCATGGGATAATATATAAGGCCATCGAATCCATTTAATTTCATTTCCAAAAGATAGGATGGCCTCAAGAGACATGTGAGCTACATTTATTTTTAGTTTCACCTCTTCTAACAAACAGAAGCTTCCTTGAAATAAGCCCTCTGCCTTTTCCATTTTTCATCCCACTACTCAGCAAGTTCTTGTTTAATTTCATGGAATAGTCATTCAAATCTTGCTCCTCTTATGAGTAAATCGACTCAAGCCTGAAGAGATTAGATTACTCAATCCCATCATACAGGTGATTTTTAGCCAAAAGACGCCTGGTCCCTGGACTCCTGTTGCAATGCTTTCTTATCTCCCACCACATTTAGAACCATAAAACAGAGTCATCTACAAGAAAACTAGGACTCAAGAAGAAAGAAAGGAAGGGGGTTAGGAAAAAAAGATGGGAAGGAAGGAAGGGGAAGGATGGAAGGAAGGAGGCAGGAAATATTTATTGTCTTTACTTAATACAACAAACTCCAGACGCAGGTCCAGTTACAAATCCCGTTTAGTGGAAAAATTCCTTCTTATTGATATTGCAGAGTATGTGTCAGCTACTGTGTGGACATCATTCTCATCTAATAATGCTTTTTAATATAGCCATTTTCTTGTTCATAAATTATCTCATTCAAGTCTGGCATTGTATTGAGACAGTAGAGTCATTTGTATTTCATTGAATTTCCATTTCCTAGACTGTGGCAGTAATAATCTCCAACATAAATGACTTTATAACCCATTATTAAATATTTGGCAAGCACTTCATCTGCAGTTGACACATTAGAAAAGCAGAACCAAATCTCTCTATAGCCAAGAATGGAATCATCAACCAGTGAAGTAGATATATACCATAAAAATTAGTAATAATAAAGTCAAGCAATGACCAGTTTACCTGCAGTAGATTCTCAAGTATGAAAGTTATTCCAATACACAGTTTCAAGTTCTGGCAAATTATTAGAAGAGACCTATCTTACAAGGTAGGGACCCTTTTGCCAACCTCTACTCCCTCTACAAGCCCAAATTCCCCTGAGACCTCTGCCCCTCTGCTCCCCACCCAACACACAATGCCATATATATTTCGTGAAATTTCTTCACTTGCGTTTTGATTAATTTGACTTTAACTTTCATTGCCCTTGACACCAATTCTTTGCCTGAGAAAGGCTAGACATATTTAATAAATAGCTACAGGCTAAATTAAATTCAAGCATTAGTTCAATGCCCTATCACTTCTGTGAACACTTCTTGCTTCAAGTGTCTAGTCTGCTGGAGATGGATTGAAAGACACACTTCTTTTTGTCCTCAACTAACCTCTGAGATGCTTTTGGCTGCAACCCAGGGCCATTAATCTCAGTGATATATTCTTCATCCGGATGCATCATCTTTGTGTCTTCTGGTAGGACTATTTGAGGAATGTTCCTAGACATTCATTTTCCTAGACTCTGAGTTTCTCTGCAATCTGGCCTTGCTGACTGGGTAGATCAGCCCATGCCATAACTGCCATCAACTTATTTCAGGGCGGGAAACAAGATTCCAGAACACTTCTGAGCAGTGACAATGGGCATAGTCACTCGTGTTCTTTTCTGGACCAGCACCTCATGAGTTCACCTTGCTACCATCGAGGAAATCCAGAACAACTACTCAAGGACATGTCTGAATGAGTCACTGAACCATGGCTCTGTGAGGTCAGCTGCTCTCTGATCCACTCGCTCCTCAGCTTAAAGACATGGCAAGTTCCAGCCAAACTTGATCACCCATCCCAACACATAGCAGTAGCTTTTAAGCCTTAAAAGTGATCAGAATGATATGAGGCAACTTGTTAAGTGCAGATTCCTGGCACACACTACTAGAGACATCAAATTGAGTGGTTTGAAATGATGACAAGAGAGCTAACACTTTAACGAGTTGTTTTGAGACAGGTGGATTTGGACTATAATACTGTGAAAATTACTAGCCTTCCGTCTGTGCTGCATGCCATCATGTTTTCATTAGTTTCACACTATTATTCTTGTGAATCAATGGAGATCAATGGAGTCTACTAGTAGGGATTCAGTAGACCTTCCTTTTTCAAGTAGCTAGAAGGGAATGTTGAGGAGAGTCCATTTTCAGGGTACAGTTCTCTGCTGTCTGTCATATTAGCATATATACTTGTAATAACTGGTTTAATGGTATTTACTCACTAATTTTACAGTTACTGCTTAATTGTACCAATAATTAAGTTATACATATCAGGTAATTTTTTAAAGAGTATTAGTTTGCATATTAAAACCCAAGGAATTATCGCATTATAGAAAATGTCACAAATATAAATATATGATAGAAATATGTTTTAGGGAAAGAAAAATAAGTCTACAGTTGTAAGATATTGAGAAACGAGGGCATAACAGTTTGGCCTTTATCTTGGTTAATAACCTGACCTCAATGGTTCTTCTGTTTGATTAAAACTAGATAGTTTCTTAAAAGCTTATTTTCTGTTCTCATATTTTATCTAACCTCCTAGGTCAAAGATAGTGAGACAAAAAGGAATTGCTCAAATACTGAGATGCATGTCAACTCTTCCAACAACCTCCAGAATTTACTGAGCCTGTAACACAGCTTTTGTAATCCTTTTCTGTGAAATCCAGTACTGTGTCAGCTTCGTTAGGGTCTAAAGTGTACCTTTCATAAAGGACCTCAAGATTTATTTTCCTGAGCTTTAAATGAGTGAAAATGTGTTTTGTTGAAACTTCCCAAGAAGTAACTGCATTTTCTATGGAATCTTCCATTGTTTATGGGCCTGATGAAAGCATTTGGCACTTAATGATTCCCAGACTATTTCAACTTTATAAAAAATCAAGAAAAAGAAAAAAAAGGTGAAAAGTAAATGTTTTGAATGCTAACAATAAAATATGTGGATTTTTAAACCTTACAAAGAAATGAATGCAATGATTTGCTTCAGATGTTATGAAAAATTTTAATGACTGTTGACCTGTTCAAATGAGGAAAATGAAACATGAGAGAAAGTGACTGAGAACAAGATATCCAGGTGGCCCTCTGAAATTCAAGTCTGTTGCTATTAGCCCTGGTTTAATTATCTTCCACTCCCTCACAGTCAGTTTTCCCATAAATGTTAATACTCCCTATGGAATCTCAGCCCTTACTTTGGTTAGACCATTTGTCAGTACTCTAAGTTCTGTATTCTGCTCAACATCTAGCCAGTTAGAGACACCACACATAGAGCATAGTGACAAAGGGTCAATTTTGGACAACTACAACCTTTAATTTGAATTTATTATAATTACAGAAAAAACTATTATAATTTTCTCCAAATTATTTTGGGCAGAAGAAACTAAGTAGTTTATCTTTAGCTGATGCCACCAATTTAAAATTGACTTCAGAATATTTATTATATGATAAAGGCGACTATTTGTATGAATGTAACATTAAATCCCCTCATTGCTAAGATTAGGTTATATGTAAAGTATGTAGAAAGTACAGACAATACCTTCTGTTAAAGGATTTTTATCATTTAAATATACCTTCAAATGTAAGAAACCTATTAGTATGGCTTGATTGCAACACTACAGCCTTCGTTTTATTAAACAGGAAAGCCAATGGAGTTTACCCAATTACTTTGTCAACACGGTTTAAGTTTGAAAGAGAAGATAAAACAACAAAAATTCTGGAGTACAGTGTTATAGCCCAGATTCCTTTAACTCCTGATTTTTCTATTGCCAAAATCCAAAGTTTAGAAATGTAAGTGAACAAGCTCTGAAGACTCATTATTTACTATTTGAGAAGTATCTAAAATGTAGTGAAAGCTGAACAGAATTTCCTTGGAGCTCTTACTAGCAACATATTAGTAATAGCAATGATTGATTTTCATGCCGTTCACTCTTTCTTCACATCTCCTCTGCCTTCTCGCACCCCAAATCCAATAAGTGTCTCTACATTCTACCCTGGTCTCTTTTTTTATTTTATTATTATTATTATTTTTTGAGACGGAGTCTCGCTCTGTCGCCTAGGCTGGAGTGCAGTGGCGCGATCTAGGCTCACTGCAAGCTCCGCCTCCGGGGTTCCCACCGTTCTCCTGTCTCAGCCTCCAGAGTAGCTGGGACTACAGGCGCCCGCCACCACGCCTGGCTAAATTTTTTCTTTTTTTTTTTTTGTATTTTTAGTAGAGAGGGGGTTTCACCATTTCAGCCAGGATGGTCTCAATCTCCTGACCTCGTGATCTGCCCACCTCGGCCTCCCAAAGTGCTAGGATTACAGGCATGAGCCACCCCGCC
The DNA here is from genome assembly GCF_000001405.40 of Homo sapiens. Taxonomy (NCBI): domain Eukaryota; kingdom Metazoa; phylum Chordata; class Mammalia; order Primates; family Hominidae; genus Homo; species Homo sapiens. The sequence goes on from NC_000004.12 coordinate 156,645,222, forward strand.
CGGCCTTACCCTGGTCTCTTTAAATCTTCCCAATTCAATGACCTCTTAGAAATATGCTCCCTGACAATAATGTATGCTCCAAAATAAACTCCCTCTGATTCTTTTTATCTTTCCAATAATCTATACTCTTTGAATCTGAGCCAGCATGTAGCTAGAAATTTGGAATAAAATATCTATATTGGTAAACAGTGGTTTCTTTTTAAGTGGAAAAACCAGTGTTTTCTTTTTAAGCAAAAGGATAATTTATTGGCTGCTTTAATTAGGAAATCAAAGTAATTGTATAACCTTTAGTCACAACTAGATCCAGAATTGTGAAGAATGTCATTAAGAATCTCTCACTCCTCTGTTTTTCACTCAAATCATTTATTTTTAGCCACGTTCCATCCATGAACAATCAAAATAGCTCTGGAATGCTGTAGCTTTACGTGATACTTAGTATTTGCAATCTCAGAGGAATGGAGATCCTTTCTCCCCTGGTATACATATAATTTCCCCCAAAAATGCCTTGATTGGCTCTGCCTGGATTATATGGCAAAACTGGACAATCACCAAAGCCAGTGAGATGGGATCAGTGATTAGTTAGCAGAGATCAATTTCCATTTCTGTGGCAAGCAACTAGGTGTTGTGATTGAGAAACTACCATTTAGGAAAGGGGAAGCTCACAAAAGGAAAAGAAGGGCCATTTTCCGATGCCACCTCTGTGGACTGAATGACCTGTTCACTATATTAGAGATGTTTTCATTCCTTGAGAAAATTTGATACTACAATTATTTTCCATTGAGTGAGATTGCTGGTAATGTCACTGGGATATTGAAAAAATCATTTTACCAAAGGACCCTTCCAGAATCCCCTTAAGGATGGCTCATCTTCTTTTGCTTTTTATTTTATTTCCATGATGATTTAATTCCAAGGTTTGCTGCTCTCTGAAAATATAAGTGAATTTATCGCTTTTCAAAGAACACTTGAGAAACGAATCAAGAGTCAAAGAACCAAAATACACACATACTTCTCATCTGCATTGTAGTCATAGGGACAAATTTTCTGAGAAGTTGGTTTCCAGTTCATTTCTAAAGCATTGCTATAAAAAAATCATTCTCAGTAAATACATCATATCATTATTGTTGAAGTAAATCAAGGAAAAAGGAAAAGAAATATGGAGGGTACATATTATTTTTCCAAAATACAGTTCTTCAACTTCCATCTCATACCCCTGGTGAAAGATTATCTTTACTTATTATGTTATAAATTAGGCAGAATCTTGGAATTACCTCACACAAAACTACTCTGACAGCCTCTTTGAACCTGACATAGTTTAGACTATATTTATTCATTTGGAGCCTACCTCTTCTCTAAAGATAATGAATTCCTGACAAAGAGTCAGAGCTTTTAGATATTTGACATCAGGTAAAATCTTGCCCATTTTTTTCTAAATAACTATAAAATCTGGCATGAAATATTTAGGATCTTAGATTGTAATTTTTAAATAAATACTACCCATCAATAAATTTGTATGTTAAGCACATATGTTGAGCTTGGATTCAAGGATGCTGCGGGCTAAAGTATTAATAGTTTAAAGCTGGAGCATCATCAAATGATGCTGAGAATGATGTTCCACCATTACATAGCATTGGAATGCAGTATTAAGAATTTACTATGAGACAACATAGCTAAAACATTTCAACAGAACAGATGATCATATTTGTAACTTCAATTAATATCAAATGCCAAAACTTCTCAGTGCTTTGCAAATTCTGTGTACTGTTAAATTGTCCAATTATTATTTCAAAGCTGTGGTGACACTTCTCAGTCCATCCAGGCACACATCTCTCTCTATCTCTGTCTCCCTTTCCCTTCCTCTCTCACTTCAAACATACACACAGATGCATATATATGAAGTCTCTCTCTCACACACACACACAACTTGCAAATACAAAAATATATTCTTCCCATTATGGATTTTCATTGTACTTGGTGGAAAATCTCTTCAGACCATGTGAGACTTAAGACAGACTTTGATCTGGATGTTGATATCACATTGGTTCATAGACATCGGTTCAAAACTCTGTATGAAGCTTTCCACAATTATGTTGTAACCTTGGTATTCCATTCTCTGCATTGCCGTCCAAGTACTGAGGTAAAAGAATGCCATGGCAGTGTTCAGCCCTGGAATTTCCATTAAAAAATGTGACCATGTGCATGGTGTAGATGAAAGCAAGATGCCCTGAAAGCTTTTGTTAAGCAAGTTGAAATAAGGCAGGTTATAACTTTCAGAGTCACTGGGACATAGCCTTAAACAACGAAGCAAAAAAGTAGGTGGATGGAAACTACAGCAACTGCCGAGACAGCTCCACATAGCTTTAAGGGAACTTTTTATCTTTTTTGAACAAAGATGTCAGACTAGTCAGACTGTCTGGAAATCCCAAAAAGAAAAATTTCAGCATACTTTCCAGATGGTAGAGGAAAATATCAAATACAAACCCTATCATATGTTTCCCCATTTTGTTGTGGGGTGTCATGTTTTTACCTATACTCATGGATCTTAATACCAGTCATATTCACTTCTAAATTAAAGTGCAACAAGAAATAGTCAAAGGCAAATATGTGTATATATATATATGTAAATATATGTGTGTGTGTGTGTGTGTGTGTGTGCATGGATAGTGCATGTATATACACATATACATGATAATATCTAATACAGTAAAAAATATACAGGAATTGGATATTCTTTTGTGAATATTTTAGATGATAAAATGAAGCCCCATGAAGTATTAAATTTTGAAATAACTTAAAGAATGTAATTGGATTGTTTGTAACTCAAAAGATAAATGTTTAAGGGGATGGATACCCCATTCTTCATGATGTGCTTATTTCACATTGCATGCCTGTATCAAAACATCTCAGGTACCCCTTAAATAGATACACCTACTGTGTATCTACAACATTTTTTAAAAATTAATTTTCTTAAAAAAGGAATTTTCAAATGTTTATCTTTCTATAACCAAACTGTTAGTCACATTATCACATTTGAAATAATTTTTAATAGAGTTTAAAATATTGTTAATGATAGATTGATTATAAAACCTATTTAGATCTCTGGATATAATTTTCAATGTGCTTTTACATTTTCTACTGCTACTTATAATTATTTATCTTGCTGTAACATCAAAATTTTCATTACTGTCACTCTGTCTGCTCCCGGCCAAACTCCCTACACCTCCTTTCATTGGCCTTCCTGTTACTAGTTTGGATGATTAACAAAGTTGTCAAGCTTGTTAAAAGTGTCTTTTCCAAATTAAAATAATAAAACAAAACATCAAATTAGAAAATATCAGGATAGCTATCCCTAAGGCCATTTCACACAACTTTCCTACACACTGCCTAAGAAAGCCAGAAAAATGATAAAACCCAAACTGAAAACTAGGAAAGTCAATTCAGAAGAGATTCTATATACAACAAAGCAGATTGGATTAAATCAAAAAGTACAATTGATGGTCTAAGTGTGGAGAACCTGCCCACTGAAAGAAAAATGGAAAGACCTGGTAACTTCCTTTTCATCTCTGTCCACTGGGTCAGCTGCGCAAGATACATACCAACAAGAAAACCAGTTACCCCACTACTTAACAGATGGTGCATTCAATTGATCCAAAGCACCCTCTTTCTTAATCTAAATCTAATCCTACCTTCCACCCCAACACCTCAACACACACACACTCATACTTCTTTCATTCTTTTGGAAAATAAAGCCTAAAGAAAGAAAGTAAACAGGAAGAGAATACAATGTGTTTAAAAAAAAGATTGGAGTGATTTTATGACATTTTAGAAAATGTAACCCTCCAAGCTAAGATTTGTAGATGGTATGAAAATTCTCAATAAATTTTTAAGAAGTGGATGTAATTTTTATATATCCCATTGCTTTGCAATCTAATATTTATTCTAAAGATAAGATTTTATTCAGAATTGGGCTAGGAGTTGTGCATACTAATATCAGATAGTACAATGACTTAGTTGATTTAGTTGTGCTAGAAAAATCTATATGATATCAGTGAATTAAGGATGGGGCAGTCAACATGGCGTGTTTATAAGAAACACCAGACCTGCAGACATCTCTACTATTTCAAATAAGAATTAAAAAAAAAAGAAAGAAAACTAAAGGGTCTTAGAAAACATTGCAGAACAGGGAAAAGGAAAGCTCATTCTGTAGGCTAAATACTTGTGCAAGTCACCAAGCAGCCAGAATAATTGTTCAAAAAGTATGGCATTTGCAGAAAAACTCAAAAAGACTGAGAAGAATTTCATGTAAAACAAGTGCAAAAGCCTTTAAAAGATTCATATTTTAAAAGGTCCAAAGTTTTTAAAAGTGAGATAGATTGGCTAGAGGCATTACACTTTCTGATTTAAAAACATATTACAAACCTACAGTAATGAAACCAGTATGGTACTGATATAAAATAGATATATGGACTAATGGAACAGAATAAAGTCTAGAAATAAACCTATGCATGTGTGATCAACTGATTGCTCACAAGGGTGGCAAGAATACACAATGGGGAAAAGATAGCCTCTTCTATAAGAAGCTTTCAGAAAGCTGTGTATACACATCAAAGAACAGAAGTGAATCCTTATTTCACACCACACACAGGAACCAAGTTAACATGTATTAAAGATTTAAACATAAAATTTGAAATAGTAAAAATCCTAGAAGAGAACATGTGGGAGTGTAGCTTTATGAGATGGTCTTGGAAATTACTTCTTGGATAGACATCAAAAGCACAGACAACAAAATAAAAAATAGACAAATGAGACTATATCAAAATAAATACCTTCTGCACAGCAAAGAAAACAATCAACAGAGTGAAAATGCAACTTCCAGAATGGGAGATAATATTTGGAAACCATATATCTAGTAAGGGATTAATATCCAAAAGATATCATGAACTCCCACAACTCGAAAGCAAAAGAAAATGAAATCACCCTATTAAAAATGGGAAAGACACTTAAATATATACTTCTGCAATGAAAACATACAAATGGTCAAGAAAATGAAGAGATGTTCACAGCACTAACAACAAAGTCCCCACAAAAACCCCATCCAAGTATCAGCAGCCTCAAAGATCTAAACTAGACAACTCATAAAGATGAGAAAGAATCAACAAAAAAATGCTGAAAACCCCAAGGGCCAGAGTGCCTCTTCTCAAAACGAATGCAATGCCCCTCCAGCAAGGGTGCAGATCTGGATGAGGATGAAATGGACGAATTGACAGAAGTAAGCTTCCAAAGATGGTTAATAACAAACTGTCTGAGCTAAAGGAGCATGTTCTGATCCAATGCAAATAAGCTAAGAACCTTGATAAAATGTTAGAGGAGCGCATAACTAGAATAGCCAGTTTAGAGAGAAACATAAATGACCTGAAGGAGCTGGAAAACACAGCATGAGAACTTTGTGAAGCATACACAAGTAGCAATAGTGGAATCAACCAAGAGGAAGAAAGGATATCAGAGTTTAAAGACCACCTAGCTGAAATAAGGCATGCAGACAAGATTAGAGAAAAAAATAATGAAAAGCAACAAACAAAGCCTCTGAGAAATATGGGACTGCATAAAAAGATCAAACCTACGATTGATGAGAGTACCCGAAGGAGAAGAGGAGAATGGAGAAAAGCTGGAAAACACACTTCAGGATATTATCCACAAGTTCCCCAACCTAGCAAGGCAGGCCAACATTAAAATTCAGGAAATACAGAGAACATCACTAAGATTTTCCATGAGAAGATCAACCCCAAGATACATAATCATCAGATTCTCCAAGGTTGAAATGAAGGAAAATATGTTAAGGGCAGCCAGAGAGAAAGGCCAGGTCACCTACAAAGGGAAGCCCATCAGAATAATAACGGACCTCTCAGCAGAAACCCTACAAGTCAGACGAGAGTGGGTGCCAATATTTAACATTCTTATAGAAAAGAATTTTTCATATCCAGCAAAACTAAGCTTCATAAGGGAAGGAAAAATAAAATCCTTCCCAGACAAGCAAAGGCTGAGGGATTTTATCTCCACCTGGCCTGCCTTAAAAGAGCTCTTGAAGGAAGCACTAAATATGGAAAAAAAAAACCAGTACCAGCCACTGTAAAAACACACCACAATATAAAGACCAATGACACTATGTAGAAACTGCACATCACGCCATTCAGAGTGGTGATTATTAAAAAGTCAAGAAATAATAGATGCTTGCGAGGCTGTGAAGAAATAGGAACCCTGTTACACTGTTGGTGGGAATGTAAATTACTTCAACCATTGTGGAAGACAGTGTGGCGATTCCTCAGGGACCTAGAACCAGAAATACCGTTTGACCCAGAAATCCCATTATTGGGTATATGCCCAAAGGAATATAAATCATTCTACTATAAAGACATATGCACTCGTATGTTTATTGCAGCACTATTTACAATAGCAAAGACATGGAACCAACCCAAATGCCTATAAATGATAGACTGGATAAAGAAAATGTGGCACATATACACCACGGAATACTATGCAGCCATAAAAAGGAATGAGATTATGTCCTTTGTAGCGACATGGATGAAGCTGAAAGCTCTTATCTTCAGCAAAGTAACCTAGGAAGAGAAAACCAAACACCACAAGTTCTCGCTCATAAATGGGAGTTGAACAATGAGAACACATGGACACAGGTAGGGGAACAACACACACCATCACCTGTTGTGGGGTGGGGGACAAGGGGAGAGAGCCTAGAGGAAGGGTTAATAGGTGCAGCAAACCACCATGACACACGTATTCCTATGTAACAAATCTGCACATTCTGCACACATATTCCGGAACTTAAAGTAAAATTTTAAACAATTTAAAACAAAAATAAAATGTTTAACATTACTAATCACCAGGGAAATGCAAATTGAAACCACAATGAGATATTACCTTTCACCTATTAGGATGGACACCATCAAAACACACATACCCACATAAATACAGACACAAATAACAAGTGTTGATGATGATGTGGAGAAAAGGAAATTCTTGTACACTGTTAGTGAGAATCTGAAATGATGCAGCCACCATAGAAAAGAGTATGGAGGTTCCTTAAAAATTTAAACATAGAATTACCATATGATCCAACAATTCCACTTCTTGGTATATATCTGAAATAATTGAACTTAGGAACCTGAAGACATAGCAGCACTCTCATGTCCATGGCAGCAGGTATTCATAATAGCCAAGATGTCAAACAACCCAAATGTCCAAAGACATATGAGTAGTTTTTTTAAAAGTGGTAAGTACATTCAATGGAATATTATTCAGCCCTAAAAAAGAGAAGAAAATCCTACCATTGGTGACAACACGAATGAACCTGGAAGACACAATGCTAAGTGCAATGTCAGCCACAGAAGAACACATACTGCTTGTTTCCTCTTATATGTGACATTGAAAATATTGCTATATAGAAGTAGACAACAGAATGGTGATTACCAGGGCATGAGAGAGGTGGCGATGAGGAATGGTTGTTCAAGAGGAATAAAGTTACCATTCTACAAGATGAATGAGTCTCAAAGATCTGCTGTTACAACATAGCGCCCACAGTTAACAGTAAGGTATAGCTCACTTAAAATTTTGTTAAGACTGTAGATCTCATGTTAAGTGTTTTTACTGCAAAAAAGAGAATGCAAGGAAACTTTTGAAGGTGATAGATATGTGTATTACTTTGTGGTGATAGTTACTTGTGTTACAGGTATGTCCATTGTATACCTTAATGAGGTACAATTTTTGGTATATTGATTATACCACCTTTTTTAGGCTGAAGAAAATAATTTTTAAAATAAGATGAGTTAGTGAAGAAAAATCATAGTAGCAATAATAAAATATATATTAGAGGTGATAAAAATTAAAATTGACAAAGAATAAAAATAAAATCCTAATTTAGAGAACCAGCTAGATAAATTTCCTAATAACGCAGAGGAAAATTGGTGTAAAGAAAGGAAAACATTACATAAGAATATATAATTTTGAAAGACATGCAATAAGAATACAACCAGACAATAGTAGAGGTTACTGTGAAAGAAACCACAATGTCTAAAACAGAAGGAATAATGAAAGATTTATGAAAGAAAAAGTTCCTACCCTAAATAAATGACCAACCTATAGATCAAAAACGCTCAATAATCTTTGAGCATAAAAATTATAGAGACTTATATCTTAGCATACCCAAAAGAAAAAATGAAGTTAGAATGATAAAGAAAATATACTAAAGTCACCCAAACATTTTTAAATTTAATAAAAATCAGGTAACACTTCTTTCAAATGGTAAAACAAACAAAAAAACCCCACAACTTGGATATCCTACCAAGTGGTTGTTATGTGTACAGCCCACAAGAAAAAGAAGATATTTACAAATACGCAAGAGCTCAAAAGAGATTACGCTAACGTATGTTGCTTACAAAAATTAATAGAAAACCATTTTAACAGCTAAAAATTGATCAAACATAATTTTTAAAAGATAGTTCATCATGTAATAAGACTTACAGTAAATGTTAAATTAGTTCAATGACATGTGTAAATATGTAGGAAATCATGAAACTTTATCTAAAAATAACATATATCATATAAATAATAATAATATAGGTGAAAGTCTCTAGATTAATGATCACAATTTCAAGTGATCACAGGGCCTGAGAAATAAGGCAGATATATAAAGAGGGCCAGGCTTAATGAATAGGGAGTGGTGGGGAGGACTCTGTACTAGAGAGCAAATTCAGTTACGCACAGCGTAACAACCTTTAGGTCAATGATGGACCACGTGTGACAGTGGACCCGTAAGATATGGACATGTAAGATTCCATATTTTTACTGTATCTTTGCTTTTTTTTTTTTTTTTGAGACGGAATCTCACTCTGTCGCCAGCCTGGAGTGCTGTGGCGCAATCTGGGCTCACTGCAATCTCCGCCTCCCAGGTTCACGCCATTCTCCTACCTCAGCCTCCTGAGTAGCTGGGACTACAGGTGCCCGCCACCACGCCTGGCTAATTTTTTGTATTTTTAGTAGAGACGGGGTTTCACCGTGTTAGCCAGGATGCTCTGGATCTCCCGACCTCGTGATCCGCCCGCCTCGGCCTCCCAAAATGCTAGGATTACAGGTGTGAGCCACCAGGCCCGGCCTGCTGTGTTTAAATATACAAATACTTACTGTCGTGTTACAATTGCCTATGGTATTCAGTATAGTAACAGACTGTACAGGTTTTTAGACTAGGAGGAATAGGCTATACCATACAACCTGAGTGTGTGTAGGCTATTCCATGTTGGTTTGCATAAGTACACTCTGTGATGTTTGCACAACAGTGGAATTGCCTAACCACACTTTCCGCAGGATGTATACCCACAGTTTAGTGACGCATGACTGAATATACTATTCAAGGAGGGCGGAAGCTACTGGACTCCAACACTTCATTACCTTGCAATGTGGGCCAGATCAACAAATTTCAAGAAAAGCCAGAAATCTACATATTCGTTTACAACATTGCAATTTTTAAATATACAGAGATAATTCAACTAGTAACAAAAGCACTGGAGGGTGCCAAGCAAAACATTTGTTTGAGATTTGAGCCATTACTAATCAGGTTTTAACCTCGCCACTCAAAGAAAAAAAAATTAAAATGCGTTAGCATTACAAAAAACTAAAAAATTGTAAGTAGGAGGTTTTGGGGATAGAAATGCTTTCTTTCTAGGTATAAATGGGTTCTAAAAGATTGGATTGGAAAATTAGAAATACATAGGTTATAAGAGTTTGGGGAAAATATAATAGCAAAATTTTGAACTTTTAAATTATTGGATAAGATGAAGTAAAGCATTGCTAGATAGCAATGTCCTGCTTTGCAGATGTCTGCTGGTTGCATAATTCAAAAGGACACTAAAGTGTTAAAAATAAAATGATGGACCAGGCGCGGTAGCTCACGCCTGTAACCTCAGCACTTTGGGAGGCCGAGGCGGGTGGATCACTGGGTCAGGAGTTGCAGACCAGCCTGGCCAAAAAAGTGAAACCCCGTCTCTAGTAAAAATACAAAAATTAGCCAGGCAAGGTGGCGAGTGTCTGTAGTCCCACCTACTCGGGAGGCTGAGGCGGGAGAGTCACTTGAACCTTCGAGGCGGAGGTTGTGGTGAGCCAACATGGCACCACTGCACTCCAGCCTGGGCAGCAGAGTGAGACTCTGTCTCAAATAATTAACTAATTAATTAATTAAATGGTGGTAAATTATTTATTACATAAATACTACTGAAAAGAAAGCAGGAGAGGACAAAATTATTATAAAACTAAGAGCTACAGTATAAAATGCAGTAAATTGATTAAAGCAGGTTAATTTCTTTTAAAACATGATTTAGTGAGCTTTAAACGCAGAATATTATAATGTTGAAAAATGCAAAGTAATATTAACAATAAAATAATACATTTATAAAGATGCACATTTTGTAAGTAATTTCAACTTTTCAAAATGTCTTTATAAATACAAGTACCTGAATAAATATTGGTCCATAAAGAACATCTCAAAAAATTACATAAAGCATAAATTATATAGCCCATATTTCTAACCATTAACTGCTTTTGTTTCTCTTCAATTCAGTCCTGTGGAAGAATTGAATCAGAAGCAAACAAAACTCCAAATGTACATTATTTAGAAAGTAACAATGAAAACATGCTTATTTCAACGTATAGGAGATGATCAAAGTTGTAGTCAGCGGCAAATGAATCCCCTGAAATGCTTTCTTCATCTTAAAAAAAAAAAAGATAAAAATAAATGAAATAAATATTAAGAAAAAGGCTAAAGTAGACAAAAGAAAATAAGGTGAAGAAAGATAAAATGAATTTGAGGATATTAGAATATATTACAAGCCTTGGGGCCAAACAACTCAAAAAAACTATGGGAAGCATACGCAAAATTTTAAATGAGATCATTAACGATAGATTAATGTTAAAAAGTTAGGTGCAATTCTATGCTAATTTCTTTAAAATTCTTAATAAAATGTATGTTTTCCTAAGAAAAGATAAATTATCAGATGTTTGAGTTGTCTGGGGGTTGAATCTCAGGGTAAACAATGTGAAATAAAATGATTTTGCCAGCAGAGCACAAGAGTGCATGTCCAGAATTTCACAGTCCTGCCCTGTCATTTTCTGCTGGGTGGCCTTGAGCAAATGAATTCAGTTCATTGACCATCCCTTCCCCACCATAAGAACTTTGCCAGTGGTGATTACTGGAGTCTCTTTTAATCAAAATTGCTTGGTTCTCCTACAGACATGTACAGGCATGCACGTGAGTAAAAGAGAGAAAAAAACCCATATATATATATGTATAACAGTAAGCAAAACTTTAAATAATACTCATTATATTTTAGATCTATTCAGTTTGCTTGTTCCCTCATTTTTACCCTCAATTAATATCATCCCTATTAGTTCAAATACCATAGCTTAAAGAAAAAATAAACACTGAAGAAGGTAGTTCAATATTGTATTCATTCACTGACTTGTCCTGGAATTCTTTCTTTTCTTCCTGTTTCTTAGACATACGTTACTTTTTCAAGTAATGAGAAATCATCTGTAGTCTTTTTTTCTTCAAACTCCAGGGGTTGGGGGTTCCAGCGTCTAAGTATCCCTGAAACTCACACCTTGATTTTGTGGCTATTGTTTGTATTGTTTTATGGAAAACAGCCAAAGTGAGCGTCTGCATTTATGTTCTTCCAAAACCTCCATATCTCACCCTTTCTGTGAAATTTCTCTTTGGAATTTCATATCATTTGGCATCTCACTTTTTTAGTGAGGGTGGCGCTCTAAATCTTTTGTGATGGCTCCAGGCTTCAGATATATATTATTCCACTCTTGCTGCCAATGTAACAAGTCAGTCAGATTTTGCAATAACATATGGTTATGATTTGAGTGTAATAGGGCTTATAAGTAAATATGTTTATCAGAGTTAGTTCAAAATTATTATTTCAACTAATTTCAGGCTACCATAACAGCCATGAATTGAGTAAGAACAAAAAGTAAAAGTTCTTGTCAAGGAAGCCTGTGGGAGATGGGGAGGCTGGGAAGGGAAGAGAGAAGAGAAGGGTTAATCTAAGTATATCGAAAGTCTACATTTAACTACAGTTTTCTCTCTTCTTTTAACTTCTCTAATCTCTTAACAATTAACCATGTTATACAGTATGTAATTTATATACTCTCCTGACATATTCAGAATACCAGATTCAGATCTAGTGTTTTCTGTGTGATTGTTTTATTTTTTTTATCCTGTGGAATAGATAAGTGGTTTGGCTCTCCTATGTACCTATTGAAGTTTACTTTTCTTACATGACTTTTTTATTGCATTCTGAGGGAAGCTATAGCAGCATTGGGCACACAGATGTGAATAAAACAATTTCTCTTAGGGCATAAAGTACTAACCATGTCTAGCATTTAATGGTCACCTATGAGATATTATGGGAAGTGTATCTATGGGAAGTATACACAAAATTTAAAATGAGATTAGTAACAATAGATGTTTTGGAAGAACACAAATGCAGATGCTTACTTTGGCTATTTTTGATAAAAACAGTACAAAAAGAAGCCACAAAATAGAACTATGAGTTTCAGGGAGTCTTAGGTGTTGGAATCCCCAACCCCTGGAGGTTGAGAAAAAAACAGTACAGATGATTTCTTATTGCTTAAAAAGAAGCATATGTCTAAGAAACAGGAAGAAAAGAAAGAATGCCTCGACAAGACAGTGAATGAATAAAATATTCAATTAGGATTTTATGTAATAGGTACTTTAATAAACTAAACTTGAAGCTTTATGGCAGCAACTTACCTTCTACATCCATCCCAAGAACCTAGAACATCGCTGGGCTCAAGGTAGGCCCTCAATTATAGTATCGAATGAATAAATGAAGTCAACAGTTCATCTTCATCTTTACAACATAAGACAATAAGTGCTATAATTCTCATTTTTACAAATAAGGAAAATGAGGCTGACAGAGGGTAAGGTTACTTCCCCTCAGTCACATGGCTAGTAAGTAGCTAAGTTAGAGTATACACCTACACCTTGCCAATTTCCAAGCCCTTGCCATTTCTACTACCCTAAACCTGCCAGCCATGTACTAAAATTCTGAGTTTGCTTTAGTTTAGATTAGGCACTTTATAGGCATCTCATTTCATATTCAGAAGACACTCAAAACGTTCTAGAAAAATATCCGATGTGTTTGACCAGAAAGTTACACGGCTATGAGAAATCCCAGAGGGCAGTCAAAAGGAGTAATTACACAAATTTTGCATAGGTAAGATCATGGCTTCTGATTATTATTTAACATTCATGAGTAATGACAAATTTCCTGGACATTCTAAGGATTTTAGGCCATTTCCTATGACTTATCTAAAACTATACATCTTTCCTACTCAAAAAAGCAAATTTGAACATGAATGAAATTGACATTGTTATAGAAAAGTTTGAGTATTTTAACTATCAATAATTATAAGTGAAAAGGTCAATCACATTTAAAAATCTTTAAAAATTATTTTAAAAATCAACCAGAGATTTGTATGTTTCAGAGAATACACAGATTAGCCGGGCACAGTGGCTCACACCTCTAATCCTAGCATTTTGGGAGGCCGAGGTGTGTGGATTACTTGAGGTCCGGAGTTCAAGACCCACTTGGCCAACATGGAGCAACCCCGTCTCTACTGAAAATATGAAAATTAGCTGGGTGTGGTGGCACATGCCTGTAATCCCAGATACTCTGGAGGCTGAGGCAAGACAGAAGAATTGCTTGAACCTGGGAGGCGGAGGTTGCAGTAATTGCGAGACTCTGTCTCACACACACAAAAACACACACAAACACACACACATACATACATAGAAAGAAAAAGCCATAAGTGAAAGTTAAAATATAATTCATTTGATGGTACTATATTATGGCATAACAGACTACAGTAAATAAAGTCTACATAAATATACTCCCATTATTAAAACATATCCAAATGTTACATAATGAAATAATTAAGATGTAATATAATGCCACTTACAGCCTTTCTTAAAAATAACTGTCATACATTCCTTTCTTAGACAGGAACCAATTTTGTCTTAGTTGCTAGTCATGTTATTAAGAACTTTTAAAAATTTATGTTCATTTAATAAGAGAGTTATTAGTCATTTGTAAGAACTTAATGGTATATTCAAAAATATTCCTGTGAAAAATAGTTGTATTTGTTAAAAGAAGAACTTTAGGCAATTTAAATTTAACAAGAGTTTATTCGAGCAAAGAATGATTGACAAATAGGGCAGCACTCAGAACCAGAAGTGGTTCAAAGATCTCTGCCCAGCAGTGTGAGCAGCAATCCTTGACAGGTGGAACAGGGAAGCAAAGCAGAGAAATCACCTCATTGGCTACAGCCAAGCATTTGGTTTATTTGGGCATGGGATGATGAGGCATCTGTCTTATCTGGGCATGGTCTGATCAATTCGTTGTTGTGATTGGCTGTAGCTCAGCTGTTTATGATTGGCTGCAATCAGCTAGTTCTTATAAAAATATGCTCCTAGTTAGGTTTCAGTCTGTTTACATACTAAGTTAGATTGCAGTTTGTTAGAGACTCAAAGCACGGAGACAGTCTTAGGCCAATGACCTCTTGCTTATTTAATTTCACATGTTGTGATGTTATAAATGTATCAGTATCTTTTCATCAAAAAGGACAAAGCATTCTCTAATATATATCATTCCACAGTTTATGACACCAAATCATGGCCAATTAGCATATATGTCATATTTTTACGATTATGCATCAGCCAGTCTTTTAAACATGTCAGTGTAATAGACACATTGTCAATTAAATAAATTAGATTGGTAAAGTAAAAAGCTGAGTGCACATCAGAAATGAAAGTAATGTCTTCGAGTTACTCAAGATCAAGATCAAAAACCAGCTGATTCAGAATCTGACTTGGATTCTCTGTTTTACAGTGATTGTGATATATCAATTACTTGGTTTTTGATCTTGACACTGACCAAATTAATAAGTAATTAACACATCCGTGTTTCAATTTTCAATGTAAATATTAACAAAATCTAGAGCCAACAGCTGTTGATGGTGAATGGATATTGAAACTAGCAATGATTTTCTCTTTTTTACTTGCCCTTAATGCTACATTGCCCATCACATAAAATCAGCAAACATTGGCACTACACTCAGAGATTATTTTAGATCCCAAGCAAATCTAATTCTTTAATCTTGTGGCTTTACTACCTAGTCGAAATAACTGTGAAAATGAAAAAAAAAAAAAAGACCACTCCGCCAATTTACAGAATTTTATGTCATCCAAACAAGAAGACTTACATATATCCCCAGAAGAGGACTGTGACTCTAGTAGCAATTACAGGCCTGCATTTTTCTGAAGCTCTGTCTTTGGAAGAGTCACTCCTGGCCAAGACAAAACAGTTGGTGACAACATTCTGGCTCTGTGTGTGCTCACCAAGTAAAATTGCCAAAATTCTGTACTCTGAGAACTAGCAAACAAAGCCAGTGGTACAATTCAATTACCATGGAATGCCAATTTTCCATAGACAAATTTGTCAATTGTTGCTAGAATTGTTCATTATGATTTGGAAGTCCTTGACATCTAAGTAGAATTGACACATAGGTATTTAAATTCAAGCATTGGAAAGAATGAAATATGATCTAAAGAAGTACACTTCGTGGTGAAGAGCAAAAGCTCTAGGGTTGGACAAATGAGTTCAATCCCAGATTCTGCTTCCTACTGGCCATTTGATCTTAACTTCACTGAGCCTCAGCCCCCATCTTAAATTCAATTCATAAGGTTATTTGTGAGGATTAAATGAGAAAATGGAACAAAAGAAAAGACTTAACTTATACCTTGTTAAGGCACATGGTACCGGGCCCATAGAAATGGCTCAATAAATGTTATCTATTATTTTCATCTCTACCAACGTATGTACAAAAATCACTTTAATTTCAAAAAATATTTACTGAGAATCAACTGTGTTGTGGACACCATCCTAAGTATGAGATACATTAGTGAACATAACAGAGATCCCTGCCCTTTCTAGTGAAGAAAGACTGCAAAAAAACCACAGTGACTATGAGAAATTCACTAAATTTTGGAAAATGTTAGAGGGTGAATAGCACAAAGAAAAAGTAGAGGAGAGGAAGGATGCCTACAAGTGGATGGTGAGACTCGTAAGTAGGGTGGCCAGGGTGAGACTACAATGTAGAATTTGGTTTGTTGACATCCTCAGAGAGTTTAAGCACTGTTGCAGTTCTACTTTTTTTTTCATTAAAATAAAAATCCCCTTGTCCAGGTTATTTAGCAGTATTTATTGTTCAAAATCAGAAGGCTCATCATATGTCATCATCCCACCTCCTTAAAAATTACTGAGTTGACAACCGTGGAATCAATTGTTAACAACAGGTTGTATGATCATCTCTAACATTATGTATAAATCAGTGCTATCACAGAAAGCCTCTCTCTGATTGCATCATAACTTTTCACACATACTGCTATCCAAATCTAAAGCTGTTTTCTATCAGAGCTTTGCAAGCTCTGAAATATTCACCTGGCAAACAAAGCCCTCCTGCTTTCACATTAAAAACACCACTCTGTGTTACAAAATGTCTATGGAAATTTACATGGTAAACCAATGAAAACCATGCAGTAGCATATGAAATATTTTTCCAATTATTTCCCCTCAAAGAAATTACTTTCTGCAGATTGAATCTGAGCTGTTTGGGATATTGCAGTTTTGATAGCTCTTTAAACTTTTAATTGGTTCACAGCCCTGTTCTGGAATAAATAAAAAAAACTTGAGGAAGAATTACTGACAGTTTTTAAAATAACATTTTTTGAGAGATGAGTATTCCTTAGGTAATACAACCTACTTTTAAGATTCTGAAATTAAACAAATCACAAAGAATCTAAAGTAATATTATTTGAAAACGGATACCTGTTTCAATTGAGTGTGGAAAAATCCTGTCAACTATACAATTACCTTTTTAGAAGGCAAAAAGATCCATATATTCACTGTACTTTTCTTCTTCTTTTGCTTAATCACTCATCCCCTATCATGCCTCCTACAGAAAGCACTAGCGGTTCTGGAGAATAAAATTTAAACTACTTTTCACTAGAAACATTAGCTTCTCTCATCAAAGCAAATGTTTTAGAAAGCTGATACCCAAATTCAACATCAGAAACTACCCTCTAGCAATTGTTTCCCCTTTTGTTCTTATTTAAATGCCTTATTCATAATTTTTGTTGTATTTTTATTTGTAATTTAAATACAGGTTATTTTTCTGCAAAATTATATGAGTTAAAAAATGACTATCCCAACACACACAGAATTTCCATTGAAATACTTTACCCTAAATGTGATTGATCCAGAAATAATAATTAAGAGTTCTTTTTCATTTGCATAAGCTCTGACATTTTGAATTTCACAAGATATATTTACTAAGGATGACTACTCTGGAAAAATTGTTCTTCCATTTTGTATACCATACTCTCCAGCAAATTTTCCAATTATTCTTTAATCTTTTTCCTACTTGCACCCTCATTTTATCCTCAACCCCTTTACAAGGCAAAACGTAGAAGACATATACATATACACACAAGCATATTTGTGTGTACACACACACAAACACACACACATCTTGATTTCCTCACTAACAACCTTTGGAGAAGATAATGATATATAAAACAAAAAAGCAGGGATAGCTATATTTCAATCCCTAAAATAAACATTAGCAAACATTGTTGAATATGTGTTAGCCAATGAGAAAAACTAGCAAATGTAGTGGTAGGAGATTTTGTGATCAGATAATGGATATGAGTGCCACCACACAGTTTTTGAGGTTTCCATACCTCTGGCTTGTGCAATCTTTTTTGGCATTTGCTCTGAATCTCTAGAGACCTACAAATATCAATTTAAGAGTCATCGTTCCTAAACATGTTGTATAAAGAAGAAAGTCAGAAATATCAGGATAAGTTTCTAGAAGTAATGTTTCTGATCCAAATTCCACAAATCTCTGAAGAGAACATTGGTTAAATTTTAACTCTGGGACTCATAAGTAGATTATATTTCCTTTTGAAAACTCACACTTCTGCAGTAATCTATAGTCTGCCATTATGAATGAGTCCTTTCAAACACAATGGATTACTTAGGAAAGTCAGATGAGTAGCCCAACAGTTCATCCAAAAGCAGCTGGCCACATGCAGCAGTCTCTGTTGATTTGTCACACATATAAGTGCAAGCCCCTCAATTGTTTGGGGGTCCAAATGATTAGGATAGGGACAGTAGCAGTGAAAGAACACATTCCATTCCTTTGTCCTACACAGGCGGATGGGCTCTTTCTCATTCTTCAAAATCAGGTAAGAACAAATCAGTGTTATCCCCTTAAATAATGATTCTCAATAAATTTTATTAGAAAATTCCACAAACAAGAAGCCAACATATCTCTATTTTTATTGCAAATCCCAAGCCTATAGAGAAATTCTTATGAAGTTATATGGGATAAAGTTACAGCATTTCTTAAGAATATGTTCTCACATTCACACATAAAGCTGTCCAAAGCATAATATCGTTCAGTTGCCACAGTGCAGAATCTGTTAATTGGATCTGCCTATGTTTTCCAACTCACAGCATCCTACAGTGCTAAGTAGGATATAAACACTCCCTGCTGAGACTCCTCATAAACCCTGATTTTTTTTTCCTTCCTTGAAGTCAGCTAGTGAATTTAGATGGCCTAAATACTAAAAATAAACTAGGGTTTTAAGTCTTTACTGACATAATCCAATCTCACAAATGGAGTTTAATAATGATTATCTATTTTATAATCTTCCCCAAAAGATTAATGCAGTGTTGATATAAAAAGTACAGACAGAGCAAGGTAGAACAACGTTTTGGTAATCTTAGACATTAACTTCAAGAAATCAGGCCATTTCCTCTCTATACTTTTTTGGTAGTTTGTATTTTGACTTTAATGCTTATTGAGCTATAGAATATATACAGGAAAGAATGCAAATCCTAAAGGTAGGTTTGATTAATTTTTGCCCGATCATCACACACATACCCAAGATAAAGGCCAAACTACAGAACGTTGTCTGCTCGCCAGAAGCCTTCCTTAGGCCCCCATGTAATCATTACCACATACACAAAAGTAACCACCATATTTAATTTTATCACTAGAGATTAGTGTTGCATGTTTTTGAACTTCATATAAATGATGCTATGCATTTTGTACTCTTACATTTTTAGCTTCGTTTTCTTTCTCATCATTATGTCTATGAGATTCATCCCTATTGTGTGTAGCAGTAGTTTATTCTCTTTCGTTGCTATGTGGTATTGCATTGTAGAAAGGTCTTAATTGTGAACTCCATTTCTTTAATAGATAAAGGACCATTGAGGTTTTCAGTTTGATTTTGTGTCTATTTTTGAAAGTTGTATTTTCCAAGATTTTTTTCATTTAAACTTAAAGACATTTGTTTATTATCTTTTAAAGTCTGTGGATCTATAATGATATCACCTTTGCATTCTTTATGTTGGTAACTTGAGTTACTTTTTTCATAATTTATATCACTAGGGAGTTCTTTGATTTTATTAACCTTTTCAAACAATAATATTTTGGTTTATTGGGTTTTGCTATTTGCTTCTGGTTCTTATTGATTTCTGTTTCTTATCATTTCTATTATCTTAGGGTTTTTGGCGTTAATATGCCATGGTTTCTGCTGGACCTGGAGAATAGAACTGAGATAATTGTTAGCAGTTATTATTTTAATATGTGCATGTAATGCTATAATTTCCTTCTAAGTACTTCTGCAGTTGCATTCCACAACTTTTAATATTTTTAACTAAATGAAAATAAGTTATTTTAATTAATATTGTGATTTCTCTTTAACGTACATCTAATTTAGAAAAGTACATTTTAGTTTCCAAACATTTTAAGGATTATCTAGGTGTACTTTTGTTACTGATTTCTAGATTATTTCTTCTATGGCCAGAAAACACCCTCTGAATATTTTCACACCTTTGTATTGTGTTACAATTTGCAATTTCGGCTAATATTATTGGATGATGATTCTCCATGGGCCTCTCATGTTTCTTCACATCTTAAGAACAGAAGTATTGACTCCTTTTATTTCCGGACTACATTCTCAAGGATGTTTGTGAAGCAAACAGCTTTGGAAGATAGAGACGCTGTCTTCCTCCAGAACAAAAGGCAAGTTTTCTTAAAGTCTTGGAAGACTGTTTCCATCTAGAAAAGCAAGTAGGCATTCTTAATATCTAGTATGAACAACTCCGGTTTTCCAAGCTCATCCATCTTCTTTTGTAACACAATTCAGTCAATGTACAAGCACTGCCTGGCCCTCTTCAAGACATCCTATAGGAATTGCTGCTTGGGGAGCTGATGCTTGTGCAGCTTGCTTTAATGTGGGTAATAAAGTTCATTGTCTCTGCTTTAGGATTCTCAGGGTTTTTTTTGCCAGCATCCCTAAAATCATGGCAGACTAACATTTTAGGGTAAAAGTAGGGTAAAATTGGGATTGATATCAGAAAGATGGCAGAAAGAAAGGCTGGGAGTCTCCTGCCACCAAGAAGGCACTGAATCAACTACAAATACATAGACCAATTCCCTTTTTGAGAAATCCAGAGAACAGTTAAGAGGTAGCTGCACCCCAGGGGAGCATGAAAGCAGCCACATGAAAGGCAGTAGGAAAACCCCCGGCACTCACTCTCCATACTGTCTCCCCACCCACCCTCCTCCCAGCTCAGCATGGCATGATCAGGAGAAAACTCTTAGTTCCTGGTTTCTCCCTGGGAGGGAAAGAGAAGATTGAAACATGTATGCAAAGTTTGGACTTTTCCTGGGGCTGCCCAAGAGACTGGTTTATATCTTCTCTGTCTCAGAGCACTGCTGGGGATCAGCTTGCTCTAGGTTTCTGGAGAGCACTGAGAACACAAGAGAGCTGGGTGGCTTGTGGCTTGCTGCTGTTCCAGAGGACAGGAGGTGCAGCAGCTAGAGGTCCATATAGCTGGGCAGCCTCTCCCTCGGGAGGGAGAGGAGCCTCTGTCTAGCGTTTCAGTGTTTCACACCCAGGTTCTTTCCAGCACTATTTACAGTAGCCAAGCGGTAGAAACAACCTAAATATCCATTGATTGGTGAATGGATAAAGCAAATGTGGTATATGTATACAATGGAAGATTATTCAGCCATAAAAGAAGAAAATACAATTGCGACAACATGGATAAACCTTGAGGACTAAGTGAAATAAATCAGTCACAAAAGGACACATATTGCATGGTTTTACTTAGATGAGGTGTCTATAATGGTCAAAGTCAGAAGCGGGAAGTAAAATGGTTTTCAGTGTGAAATGAGGAGTGGTTGTTCAATGGGTATAGAGTTTCAGTCACACAAGTTGAGAAAGTTCTGGAGAGCTGCTGTACAGCAACGTACTTAGAGTTAATATGTGCTATATACTTAAAAATTTGCCAGGAGCGTAGATTTCATGTTATGTGTTCTTTATCACAATAAAAATAAACATATAAGTAACTGAAAATTACATATTAAAAAGGAACAAATTATTAACACAGGCAGAAATTCAGATGAACATCTAGGGAAGTAGTCTGAATGAAAAAATTCAGTCCCAAAAGGTTATATACTGTATAATTCCATTGACATAATCTTTTTGAAATAAAATTGTTGGAATCAGTGTTTTATAATTGTGTTTTAGATCAAGTGTGTTAGACATTCCGTTTATGTCTTCTATATTTCTATTGATTTTTGTTTTGTGTTCTAATAGCTACTACAACGATTTGTCTAAGATGTAGAATTTTCCATTTTTCCTTAGTTCGGTCCATTTTTCCTTTATATATTTTGAGACAATATTAATAGTTACATATAGTCATTCTTAAGACTGCTATATCTTCTTGTTAAATTAACCTTATATTGTTATGAAATGTTGCCCATTACATTTAGTAATACTTTGTGTCTTAGGGCCTATATTGTTCATTTATTAACATAGCTACACTAATTTGTCTATAGATCAGGAATCAGTAATGCATGGTGTCTTAGTTCAGACTGCTGTAACAAAGTACCATAGCCAGTGTGGCTTATAAACAACAAAATTTTGTTCTCACATTTCTGGCATCTGGGAAGTCCAAGTTCATGGTCAGATTCTGATAAGGGTCCTCTTCTGAGTGCAGGCTGTCAGCTTCTTGCTGTATTCTCACATGGCAGAAAGACTGTAAGCTAGCTTTCTTGCTTCTTCTTATAAGAGCACCAATCCCATTTATGAGGGTCCCATCTTTATGACCTAATTACCTTGCAAAGGCACTATTTTTGAATACCATCATAATAAGGATTATATTTCCACATATGAATTTTGTGGGGACACAAACATTGAGTCCATAGCAGATGGACTGGTACACAGCCTGATTTTGTACATCCTGTAAGCTAGGAATGTTTCCTACATTCTTAAAGGGATTAACAAAACACACAAAAATAACATGCAACAAAGACCATATGTGTCCCACAAAGCTGAAAATATTTACAATCTGGGCCATTACAAAAAAAAGTTTTCTAACTGCTGTTAGTGTTTCTATGATGTATCTTCTCCTATAACATTAGTTTTAACTTTCCTATGTCCTTCTTAAGAACATAGAAAATGTCATTAATAATCGTTGTCTTTAATTGACATATTCAATTGTTTTTAATGTAAATTGTGATATATTTGGGTTTAAATCATTATCTCAGTATCTTTCAAGTTGCTTCATCTATTCTTTGATCTGTTTTTACACTGCCTTGTCTTCTTTGAGAATAATCAGGCTTTAATTTCAATTTTTACCCAATATTTACCTGTTATTACATTCTTATTTATTTATTTTCATTCTTAGCCTGCTACACTGTATACCATTAATCTATTAATATCTACTTTAATTAGTACTTTTTCCCATTCCCAGATAATGCAAGGGTTCTGTTGTAGTCTGCTTGGGCTGTCATAAAAGAATACCACTGAGGAAGTGGCTTAAATGGCAGAAATGCATTTTCTCATGTGTGGGGCACTGGAAGGCAAGATCAAGGGCCAGTATAGTCAGGGTCTGTTGATTCCTCTCTCCTTTGGTTGCAGATGACCTTTCTTCTGTGCTTGTAAAGAGACAGTTCTGGTGTATCTTCCTCTTCTTATAAGGGCACCATTCCTGTAAGACCTTTATGACCTCACTTACATGCCTCATCCTTAAAAAGCTGTCTCCAAATTCTGCTACATTTAGGTTTACGGCTTCAACATAGGAATTTGTAGGGGAAGAGAAGGTGATGTGATGTAGTCCATAACAGGCTCTGTAATACTTTGTCTGCAGTTACCCTCTCTAACCTGTGCTACTTTGCCATGTGTTTTAATCCTGCACATATTAAGTGTCATATAGCATTAGTATTCATTTTTAATAAAGAATATCAATATATAGTTACTCCCTTATATTCATCCTTTTCTTCGTTCATTTTTGCAATTCATCTAAATTTTTGTTTACAATTGTTTTCTTTCTGCCTGAAATTTTTCTTTAGCATTTCTTTTAGTGAATGTCTGCTAGCAGAAAAGTATCATATCACTGAAAATGTTAATTTTACCTCTTTTGAGGCCTGGATGGGTAACACAAAAGGTTAGAATAGAGGAGGATCTCCTAGTATTATTTTGAAATTTAGCAGATATGATTCCTTAAGTTTCTTTTTAAAATTTTTAATTGTTATGGATACATATTAGTTGTACATATTTCCAGAGTACATGCGACATTTTGAGACAAGCATATAATGTGTAATGATCAAATCAGGGTAATTGGGGTGTTCATTACCTCAAGCACTTATTGTTTCTTGGTGTTGAGAATATTCCAATTCCTCTCTTTTAGTTATTTTGAAATATATAATAGATTAGCTATAGTCACCCCATTGTGCTACCAAACCCTACACCACATTATTTCTATCCAACTTTTTATTTGTACCTATTAAACATCCCCTCTTTATCACTACCCTTCCCAGCCTCTGGTAACTACCATTCTACCCTCTCCGAGTTAAATTTGTTTTAGCCACCACGTATGAGTGAAAATATGCAGCATTTGTTTTTCTGTGCCCGGCTTATTTCACTTAACATAATGTCCTCCGGTTCCATCCATGTTGTGGCAAATGACAAGATCTCATTCTTTTTAAAGGCTGAATAATATTCCATTATGTATATGGTATGAAAATAACATTCACTTTTAATTTTGAAGAATATTTTGCTGAGAGCAAAATTCTGCAAGTGGCATTTTTGTCTCATTTCAGCCAATTAAATATAGCATTTGACTGTCTTCTATATTTTATCATTTTGTTGAAAGGTAAGCTGCCAGTGTTGTTGCTCCTTTGAAGACGCTATTGTCTTTTCCTCTGTATTATTTTAACAGGCGCTGTATGTTTCTGGGTTTCATTGTCTTGACTAGGCCTTGGTCTGATGTTCTTTGTACTTACGGTGCTTAGGTCTGAAGTACATCTTGAATCTGTAGGTTGATGTTTTCTTTCAAAGTTGAAGATTTCCTGACCAGTGTTTCTTTAAATGCTGCTTCTGTCTCTTATCTCGTTCTCCTCTCTCCTATATGCCAGTCACATGGAGAGAGAGATATTAATATGTCTATATAGGTATACAGACAGGCAAACTTTTCATCTTATCCCACCCACATTTCTCTCATGCTATTTTCCGAATTGCCCTTCTGTCTATTTGGGCTTAAGTTTATATATTTTCTTTTAAGGTAACTTCCAGCTCATTACTTTTCCCTTCTTCTGCATTTTCTTTTTAAACACCATCTTTAATTATTACTTTTTCTTATTCTTCATAGAAAACATGGACATGTTTTCTAATTAACTAGTTATTTCTACTTTTTTGGCTAATATGCTTTTAACACAATTCATTTAAATTTTAATATTAGTTACTGTAAGTTTTAGATCCAAAACTTCCATATGAATCTTATATATTCAAATCATCTTGTGAAATTATTTATCCTCTAGCCTTTTTAAATAAATGTATCAGTTATTTAGCTTATAAATATGTTTGCTATTAAGTTTCCAAGTGCATAGACAACTGATATTATTAATATGCCAAAAGAAAGACGTCACATTCCTTTGCTCCAATACCCTTATGCCATTTTAACATCAAAATAACAGAAAACCCAATGAATAAAATAGAAATTATTTTGCCCATACTTTATTAACTAATGAACCAATGAAATAATTAATTAATTTTTAAGTGAGTGAGATAAGAAAGCTTCCTATTAGAAGAGAATGTCAACTAATAAATACAGAAGTCATGATGAAACCAGATAATCACGTGCCGATAATCACAGGAATACTTCATTCATCCAGTGTATATCAATGAACACTAAAAGCAGCAAGTAAAAATTTAGTGAGAAAATCAATATTTACATGGTCTCAAAGTACCTCCCCACAATATATACATTAATTACAAGTGAGAATTAGTAAATTTACAAAGGAGAAACCTGAAAGAAACCACTTTAATCAAATGATTTTAGTTAAATCTTCAGTAATAAAATAAACAAGGCAAACAAATCACCATACTACCTTATGCCTCATTTGGAAGAACACAGAATCACTTCTCACTTCTGTGATATTTCTGCCTAAAATGCATAACCTGAATGTCACTGTGAGGAAACATCAGACAAACCCAAAGTGACATATGAAGTAATAGATGGGAAGACAGGGAAAACTCATCAGTTTTGTGATATATTTGGAAGTAGTTTAGTTAAAAGTTTAAGTTACATTGGGTATGGACCATTATAGCAAGAGAAAGCATAAGGATAACACCAAGATCAAGGCAAAGAAACTGAGTGATTGATGGAGCCCTTAACTGATATGAAGAAGAATCGAGAGGTGGTACATTTTCTCAGAAAGGGAAACAGACTAAGAGTATTATAATGTATTTATTATTTTTTGGAGTTCTTTGTGATTGTTAAATGTAAGTGCTTCGATGAATGTATTATCATTCCTAAAGTTAATGATTAAAAGTCATATAGGATTATTAATGATTCAACATCATTTTTTACATTTTGGACATTTTATATAAATTTCATAGATCTCACTATACTTAGCTGCCTACAAGCAAATTCTAGAATTTTAATTATACCTATTTTGAGATTCAATATATTACTTCAAATATTACTTTCACAAAACACAAAGAAAAAAACAAAAAGCTACTAATATGTAAGGCTTTCTAGTACTAAACTGCTGTTTATATTATGATTATACTGGTTTTTTTCCAAATAATTTTCCCTATTTTAAAACTGATATGACAATTTATCCCTGAGTTTTAAATAAAATCTATTGGAAATTCTCTAATGAAAAATACAGCTGAAAGCCCATGAGATGCATGATAGCATTGCCAATATAAAGCATGCTATTTTGCTTATAAAAATGTGTCTGCTATTAAAGTCTCCAGGCACACAGACTATGCAGAATCATTAATAAGTCAAAAGAAAGGCAAAGTCACATTCCTTTCCTTCCACATCCCCATGCCATTCTAGAAAGTCCAGCAAATATGAATTTTGCTTTTTCCATTTCCATAAGCTCTTTGTTCACCAAAAATTTATGTTAATTGCTAGGGAAAGGGGCTACCCATAAGCACTGGGAAAACAATTCATGGTTTAATATAAATAATAAATTCAGCAGTAGCCACTTTACTCAGGATGTATACCACCATGAAACATTACTGCAAATTTTTGCAGTTATAAGTACATTTTGTTAGAGGATTATGTAAAAAGGAAGACAATTGGAAAGGATTTACTGTTAACTAGGGAAATACAAATCTAGAAAGTTATAAAGTTAAAATTAAACTCTTGGAAGCTTTTTGAATCAGAAACAGAAAAGGCTTATTTGCAGTTGTGAGGAAAAAGTGAATTTAGTGTTCATCAAAATTTCTCTTCTATTACAAGTGTTGTCTTTAATTTCCAATATACTCTTACATAGGCAAGCTCTCTTCACTCCAAATTAATGTGTTCTGTTCTACCTTTTACATTTACTTTTTATTAAAGAGTTCCTCTTCTTAGCAACCTGATAATTTAGTGAATCTAAGAAGTCTATCAGATCAGTTGTCTAGAATAACATAAACAAAGGAAATAATTCCTAAATTAAACACTTCAAAATTTTCACTTCTCAATCAGTTTTGTGCGTGAAGGGGGAGTGCATCGCATAGACAAATATATTGAGACAATACTAGAAATCATAGCAACCTTAGAACCTCTTTAACTAAGGCCCCTTGAGGTTAATTAAATTGCTTTCGGTCAGATACCAGTTCAAGCCTAAAACAGAAGTTTGCTGCTGGTGCTAGTGCCTTAACAGTTCAAAGGAACATCCTACAGAGCTGGGACTCAGACTTCTGTAGAGGGAACTTGAGCCATCTGGCACTGATACCTCTGAGCTGGCATGATGAAGCTAGTTCTTGAAATACAGAAAAGATTGGAAACTGGTAGCAACTGCTGTTACTCAAACCAAATGCTGAGATGAAGAGCGAATTATTAGAGCAAGCAATCTGGAAGGTGCTTGTCTCTTCTTCACTTCCTTTAATGCTCCCTATTGGCAGGACCTAACAGGGAGTCAGCGGGCAAAGGAAAAGAATGGCTTGCAGAATTCCAGCCATAACAATCATAAAGAAAAGAACAGAGGATAGGTCTGGAGCTTATAGTACTTAACAATCGGCACATTCAAAGAGGCATTCGACTTCCCAGATGACACTGCAGTTGGGACCAAAATAATGTATCTGTTAAAAATGTAAAAGAGGAGTATGACTGTGGGCATGCAAGCTGCAGTGTCTGCAGTAACCACTTCTGAATCTAGAGATCAATGCAGTTTAGTCATGGAGCTGTGACACATACAAATTACAGCTCAAGAGCCAAAAGTGATTAAAGAGGAATTTCTTCTTATGACCTCTTGGATGACATTAAAGTGACTGCAAATAAAAAGTCTTTAGAAACACCCATTAAAGTACCCTTTGTTTCCATTCCACTTTCCTGGCAGGTTTCTTTCTCGTGCATGCTCCCTCCCCGCCCAAAAAGAAAAAAAAATCGTACTCTACTCCCAGTTCATGATGCTTTCATTTCTTCTCTTTCCCGCTCCTTATATCATTTTGCATCAACTATTAATTATGATTACTTATTAATTAACATCTCTTCCTTCAATACATTGTTATTTTTCAATGTGATCAATTGATGTATGAACAACCCCAGTTGCTCACTCCTCTCTATGAATATGTTCTTTGGCACGAAATTTTATAGCCCCCGCTACCCTCACCCTAAGCTTGGCCATGTTATTTGCTTTAGCCACTGAAATTTTGGAAAGTGGGACATAAGCAGAGGGTTGGGAAATAGTTTGACCGACTGGGTTTGTTCTCATTCTTGCTCTATGACAGCACTATAAGAATACATCCA
Source organism: Homo sapiens (assembly GCF_000001405.40). Taxonomy (NCBI): domain Eukaryota; kingdom Metazoa; phylum Chordata; class Mammalia; order Primates; family Hominidae; genus Homo; species Homo sapiens. The sequence goes on from NC_000004.12 coordinate 156,673,697, forward strand.
GGCTAGCCTGCTGGAGGATGGGAGATTGTCAGTTCAGATATGGCTGCTGACCTAGCTGGCAGCCAGTGTACACCAGACCTGTACATCAAACCACTCAAGATGAGAATATCCCCACCAAGCCTAGCCTAAATATCTGGCCGTAGATTGATGAGCTAAATGAATTCTTATTATGGTAAGTTCCTGAGATTTGAGATGGTTTGTTATACAACAGGGAACTGATAGGCTTATTCTTCAAGAGGAGCAAAACAGGGATGATTGCTATTCTCTTCAATGGGTTGAGGAAAGAAGAAATTATGTGAACATTTATACACTAATAATTTATTCTGTCATATTTCAGTCAGATTAAAGCAAACAGCCAAAAACAAGGACAAAGTCCAAGGTAAGAGACTGATGATAAGTGGCCTGTTTACAAGGAAAATAAGATCACTAGCTCTACTTACAGCTGATTCAGAATAACTTCATTTTTAAAGCCTAAAATTTTATAGTCAAGCTCTTGAGTGCAATTTCCTTAACATTTTCTAAACCATACAGAAAATCATAAAGAAACAATATTTCTTTGTTTGAGTTTCCTTTTTAGGAGTTAGGTCTTATTTTAAAAATATTTTCTAGCCTGTTTAGGCTCTTATTTAAAATTATCTACTTTTCTCAAAGTCTTTCTCATACTTGAGATATCCAAAATATTGAATGAGTGATGTAAACTATACCAGATAAACTATGAGTCTATATTTTTACCCTGATTCAGTCAGTTTCCAAGGAGAACTTTGAACAACTAAAAATGTGTATTACTATAATCTCTCTGAAATATTTCTTATTAATTTTTTGGGGGGAAAATGAGTCATTCTGAGCCAAAAAAAAAAAAGGTTAACCAGACACTTTCCACTCCTAACTTGAGTTGGCGATATCAGCAGATTCAAATTACCAGCAATGGGAAGATATAGGAAGATGTAGGTACCTACCAATGAGCTTACCTTCCCAGTGCTCTATATAACCTCACTTCTATAGCCCAAAGTATTAAAAAGAAGAAAAAATAATAATTCAGGCTTACTATTTAAAAATACAGTGATTCTGGCCGGGCACGGTGGCTCACGACTGCAATCCCAGCACTTTGGGAGGCCGAGGCGGGTGGATCACGTGAGGCCAGGAGTTTGAGACCAGCCTGGCCAATGTGGTGAAACCCTGTCTCCACTAAAAATACAAAAATTAGCTGGGCATGGTGGCGGGCGCCTGTAATCCCAGCTACTCGGGAGGTTGAGATGGGAGAATTGCTTGGACCCAGGAGGCAGAGCTTGCAGTGAGCCAAGATTGCACCACTGCATTCCACCCTGGGTGACAGAGTGAGACCCTGTCTCAAAAAACAAATAAAAATACAGTGATTCTGAGAGGCCTTCCCTTTCCACACCACCTGCTACTTGTTTGATAGCTCTCATCCCATTTTCCTCAACTGCCACATATGGCCAGGACTTCCACAGTGTATTAAACATCTTCTTTGGACAAGAGAAATTTCACTGAAGCAATGAGTGTAGAAGTTATTAGCATGAATTGAAGACTGATGCTGGCACACAAATAGGGAGACACATCAATATAATGACCTAATGAATCTAGAAATAGCTTCAAGAAGTTATGGAAAAGTAGATGTGATAAAAGTTGCATTTCAAATCAGTGAGCAAAGTATTTAATAGAATTGAGACAACTATGTAGCTATTAGGAAAACATTAAAGTTGGATGCATAATTAGAAACTCTCCTCAGGTTTATCAAGATTTTAACTGTGAGGAAATAAAACAACAAAAGATAGAGACAAAAGCAGGTAAGCACTTTAAAATATCATCTCAGAAATCTTCCAAGTTTGATACATAAATTCAACTAAAATAAATGATTTTTCATTAGAAAAGCATTTGTCATAAGACAGATGAAATTGTGAGAAAAATCATTTGCAATACATATCATAGACAAAAGGCCAATACTCCTAATATATGAAGACTTCTTGTAAACCAAAAGAAAAATAAAGAATAGTATATAGTATGCTTTCATCTGTGCAAAAAAGAATACAATATATGTGGAATATCTCTGGAAATAGATATAAGTAACTATTGCCATTGTCTGTCCCTACGGATTGGAAATCGGTGATCAGGGGTTCAGAAATTGAAAAGGGCTTTTTCACTCTATAGCCCATTCCACTTTTAAATCATGAACTCTATTAATACATTATCTATTTGTAAATAAATAAGCAATAATTGAATTAAACACTTTTATTTGTAACAATTATATAAAAATATAGTTTACATACTTATTTAAAAACTAGTAACATTATATTTTAATCAGGATTCTTGATGCTTGCTACCAGACAAACCCCAAAATCTCAAAGCTTAAGAGACACAGGGTTTATTTCTCACTCCATAGAGACTGATATGTGTTGGATGGCCCTAATGTAAGTAATATCCAGCCATTCGGAACATGTGCCTTTAAGACTGGTTGCATTAAAAGAGACTCACCAATTCTAAACTATCCCAACCCAGACCTGACACAAGTCATTTCTGCTAACAGTCCATTGGCCAGAACCACTAGCATGGTTCTCACCTGACAACTGCAAGGAAGGAGGTGAAAGGAAAAGCATGGATAGCATATCATGACTTGCATTTTTCACACTGCAGCAAATTCATTTTTAAATAAAGGTTTTAATAATTAAAAAGCCTCATATTTGGTATAACCTCTTTTTGTGTGCTTTTGTTTTCACCTTGTTAAAAAGGCATATTAAATATTCCCAATGAAGAATTACATCTATGAGACCTGTGGGGTGTCATAGAATATCTAGATATATCCTCTCCTAACTTTGACCTTGCATAGAAATATGGGCAAATATACTATTGGCCAATCCAAATGCGAATACGCTTTGACATTTTTAAGCTTAGTCATTTTTTAGCTTTTCCAGGTACAATTAAACAATTGTAGTCTACACAGTCATTAACCAAACAGTGTTTGGAGACAGATGAGCTCATATTATCCATTTTGTCTGCATCCTTCAGCCAACTTTTTTACATGTACAGCCCATGAAGGCCACTAAGTGTGTTCTACATCCACAAATTACAAAGTCAAATGGGAAAGCCAGTGCAATGTTCTGCTATTTTTATCCTGGAAAGAACTGTTTGTATTCATGCTTAATTTTTGTCTCTTAGTTCTACTCCAGGTCAGTTTTTGTCAAACTATATTTTTTCACTTTCCAGCAAGAAAAATGAGGTCTGCTTCTTAAAAGTAAAAAGCAGTGGAATATGTTACTAGATGGCTTCTGCATTGTTCATTTAAGTACTACGCGATGAAATATAGACATGATTTAGCAGTGTAATTTAGTTTCTCATCATTCTGTGTAAGTATTTACTTATGAGAAGGATTCCTATAACCAATTCTGAATAATGCCAGCTGTCCAAAAGAAAGACTCAGGAGACAAGACAGAAATTTTGGTGACTGGGGGATTACTCACCAGAAGACATTGATGAACATTTCATTTCATTGAGGAACACATTGATCAACATTTCAGCAGAGAAACCAAAGCAAGTATATCATAATATGTCATTTTAATAAGCCATGACACCAAATGCAAGAGCAACATGCAGATTGGGCGTTTTGTCTCTTACAACATATGCTATTTTTGTTTACCGTTAGTAAAAACACCACAGGGTCAGGGTGGGGCTGTGGCGAGTAAAATGTTGAGTTACGAGCACACCCTACTGGTTTGGTGTGAGATGACAATAAAAGACAATAAAAGGTTTCATAGGTGTTTTGAGGTGTGTGTGTGTGTGTGTGTGTGTGTGTGCGTGTGTGATTATGGACATAGCGAAACATACAGTATTCTGCAGTTTTAATATTATACCAAAAAGAAGAGTGATATGTATATTGGATAGATGAGAGATAAATAGACGTATTTGAACAGAATGAAATCCTTTTCTAAAGTTTATGAATGCCTTGATATGCCTTATTTCCCCTTTTTACTATTTTTAAGGCTCTTTTAACTCTCTCCACTCTCATTTAGTTTCTGAAGACTTGGCATCCCAAGGAAGACTCTTTTGAAGTCAATTTCCCTGACCCTGGATCCACAGAGCCACCTGCAGATGTCACACTGAAACTTTGCTGTTGACACACCACCTGTTTTTCCTTGTTCTCCTTCGGTTTTTGCTTTCATCAAGAAAATTCTTCAAACAGCTGGGTGATGCCAATACATGGAGCCCGCTGGGAAGTACATTCTTGTTCCACACTAGAAAACCAGACTTAATTAGTCAGTCACATTTAGAGTACTTTTTCTTCTCCATGACGACTCTAATCACGTTAGCCATATTTGAACTGGAAAATAGCAGTGTTTTCAGCCACACATGATGAACACAAATTTATGTTTAAATACAAATATTAGAGAAAGACAAATAGGTTGACATAATTATGTGGTTGATTCTCCTGTGGCTAGAAAAAAAAATAAATGTGCCACCTCATCACCTCAGTCTTCCTCACTGAGACCTGTTATCTAGAAAGGGGATATTCTAGGGGATCACAATGGCGAATTAGTGAGTTTGGGGAGTATTCTTTTGTTTTGCTTTCTTTTTTCACTCAGGAAGAGTGAGTAAAACCACGTGGCTATTTTTATGTCATGACTTAAATACATCTTCATCGCCAAGCATTGAAATTTCACTATCACTGTGTTCCTTGGGTATAGGCAATATGGGGTTAGTTACTAGTAATTAAATATCTATAAGTAAAGGGAAAAAGAAAATCAAATCTAACATTCTGTTTTTATGTAATCCAACCCTTTCTCTTAGACATCAGAAAACTATATGGACACCATGATAAACAAAGGAATCCCTTGCCCAACTCATATGTATCTGGCCTAAAAAATAATTTTGTGACCAACTATTATAGCTCTTCTAGGATATTAAAATAGTACTGAGAAAAGCTTGTGTAGGCACTAAACTTAAACAATTTGACAACGTTTGCCTTACATTTATTTTTATTTTTTTGGCTCAAAACTAACTATAACCCAAAGAATTTCCAATCACATTAATCTTTCAGTGGCAACATTCCTTAATTTGAGGCTTACTCTTTCTAAACTTTGACTCACACTATGTTTTTAACATTGAAATCTGATAGACAATTGTGTCAAAATGGCAAGGTACATTCCATGTGTCCAGGTGCTGTATCTATCTTGAATTACCTCTACGAAATGCAAGATGCATTTTGCTACCAGATTAATCTGATAAAGCAGACCCCAATCATACCATTCAAAAGCCTTTAATGGCCTCCCAATTACCTACACCTGCAAAATTGGAGTCTAAAGCCTCATCCCAACTTGCAAAGGACTCTTTAGCCAACTTCTCCACCTTCATTTCTTACCATTCTCCTTTGGGCATTCCTGGGTTGCAAGCTAAGTGAATTATTTTTGACTTCCTAAAATATTCCTCTTCCTTCCTCTGTATAGCTCTCATGCTAGGCAAAAAATATTATTGACCAATTCAAATTCCTTCCAAGTGACATGTAATAATAGTGATGATGGCAATAATGATATGAGTAGTGGCCAGCCTTAGGGAGGGCTCATTATGTGCCAAGCATTGAAATAACCAGTTTCTACATGCTTAAAAGAATAAAAAGACATAGTTCTCTTATTCCTCTTGATAACCCTAGGTGGTAGGTTGTGTTGCTATAAGAACCTGGGATCTATACCTTACAAGTAAACGAGTGCAGATGGGAAACACTTTCTTTTTCATGAGTGATTTCACAAATGTTATAAACCGACTTTATTCAGATTTGTCAGGCAAAATTCTTTTCGGCTGTTTTTGGTAGAAATGACCAGCCACCAACAATTTTTAGCTGTTCACACTTCTGTAAGCTCAGTGAAGCCTAGCTCTCTGTCTTCTTAGAGGTTCAGGCACCACCAAGCAGGAAACCTTCACTTTAACCAAAGTGAGAGTCCAGAAGCAAGATTATGTTTACCTTAATACCAACAACTGGAAATCTGAATTTTCTCTGGTGCTGGCTAGACACAATGCGATTTTAAAATTATAGCTAGGATAGGAGTTGTTAGAATGTGATCCCTGTGGGTTTCTTGGGGAATCTTCAAGGTCAAAACTATTCTGTGATAATATTGAGATGCTATTTGCTTTCTTTCAGTGTTTCAACATTTACATTGATGATGCAAAAGCAGCAGTGAGTAAAAGTGTTGGAGCCTTAATACAAATCAAGACAGCACTGAACTGTGCTGGAAAGTCTTGTGTTCTTGACTCCATAGCATTCATGGGGTGGAGGAGGCAAGAGGGCTCCTTGAGGGCTTCCTTAAGAAAACAATGAAATTGATTAGTTTTATGAAATCTAGGCCCTTGAGTACATGTCTTTTAACATTCTAAATGAAAAATGGAAAGTGTGTAGAAAGACTTTATGCTTCACACTGAAGTACAATGGTTGCCTCAAGGAAAAGCACATGTGTACTTGAGCTAAAGCTGAACTGGATGTTTTAATCAGGGAATATTTTATTGAAAGAACTGAAAGGCAAAGTATGATTATTCAGTCTTGGGTACTTGGCAGACATAGTCTCAAAAATGAAGTGAGCCTGTTGCTTCAAAGATAGCAACTGACAGCATTTGCTGCCAGTGATAAAATTTGAGCCTTCAAGAAAAATTTAGCATTTTGAAAATCTTGTCTTCTTCACCATACTGACAGTATCCCAATATTTAAATTTTTTTGATGAGATTAGTGGAAATATTAATGACTGTGATTTTCTTTATATTCATAATGAAATATGTTAACATTTGTAATATCTGGATAGTCAGTCAACCAACATTTCCTAATTACCAATGCATGATGCTACAAAATCACGCGTGGATACAAGACCCACTCAAAGTGCAAGATAGACAAGTGGATTTTAATGGAACAGAATACACAATGTTCATGGATATAGTTTTAGATTCCACATTGTAACTAATCTTCAGTAAAATACCACGTGTTATATTGTGATATAATATCAATGGAAAAAACATCCAAATTATCTGCAAAGATAGTAAAGCACATTTTCTTCCAGTGACATAAGTCAGTTGAGATATGAGGTCAGATTTTCTTCATATGCTTCAACCAAAACAACATATCTTAACAGACTAAAGGCAGAAACACAGGGGAATCCAGATGTCTTTTATTAATCCAGATACTAAAGAGATTTTTCAAAAATATAAAACAATGCCACTTTTACCATATTTTTGGTTTTAAATAAAATTATTTTTCATAAATGTTTATGTTTAACAGGTAATAAACTTCTTATCAATATTTAAGAATTACCTAATAAATATTTTATTGATTTCTTATTTTTAATTTCATAATATAAGTTCTTTAGAGGTTTTAATAAATTTTAAGAGCATAAATGGGTTGAGACCACACAGATTATAATCCACTGAGCTAGGTCTTCCCGTCTAATGATAAAGGCTGTAAGCCTAGTGGATTCTTATGTACTGTTCTCAAAAGAGTGAACATGTGTTGAAAATTATTAAGCTCATCCACATATGTTGAATACCTTTAGTTTCACCACTAAGAGAACATTTTAACACTTATTGTGGTCATTTACTGTAGCCACAAATGAAAAACCTTTCTGACATTTACCATGATTAGAAAAGCCTGATGTGTTGATCAAGCTAGAGATAAGAGCATGTGTAGTAGCTGGAACATGGGCTTTCTCATTAGAGCACTAGCTGACAACACCTGGAGTTTACATTCATATTAGAATTCAGAGTTCAGCAACTGAGTTCTAACTTAACCTAAATAAGAAAAATCCAGCATTACACTATCTATGCTAAAATATTTTAAAGTTAAATTACAGACATTGTAATACCCGACCAGATGCCATCTGCCTTTGAATTTCTACTTTTTATATACGCTTTTCAGCATCTCTATCCTATATTCTGCCAATTCTACACTGAAAGCTTTTGTGCATTTATTTTACTCCCTGTTCTTTTCACAAATTCTGAGATATTACCTAACTACTAGAAGCAGAAACAATATGTGATAACTGGGTAAAGCAGATATTAAGAAGCAAGAGAAATCTATGAATGCTAATAGGAAGCTGGGCACTTGGAACATGCAATCCCAGGAATACACAGGGAGTCATAATAAAGAAAAAGTAAAGAAATGGATATTACAATGGTACCCGAAATACAGTAATGATCACCTAGAAGCAGATACCATTTGGCCAAAAAAAGTTAAAAAAAAAAAAAAACCCAACATCTGAAAATTGTAAAGTCTTTTTAATCCAGCAAGAGTTCAGGGGTAGGACTTGAGTCATGAGAGGGAAATAAAAAATAAAAAATGAAGTTCATAATCTTAAAGAGATTCAACTATTAATCAGGTATGAAGTTAAAGACTCAGGAAAAAAGAAACAAAACAACATTTCAGTTACCAGTCTATCAGAATATGTAACTAATAAATATATAATTTTTATTTTAGTGAAGATATGGCTTTAGACGTACCTGAAAATTGTATTCTTACTATTTGATACTATCAGTCTGCAGATAAAGTCACAATGCTAGTGACATAGCATGGATAAATTAAGAAACATGGAAGAATGGCTCCAAAGCTGTAAGAATTCTAACTCCAGTTTTATGATTAAGAGAAGATCTTTGGTGGTGGGCGCGGTGGCTCACGCCTGTAATCCCAGCACTTTGGGAGGCCGAGGCAGGCGGATCACGAGGTCAGGAGATTGAGACCATCCTGACTAACACGGTGAAACCCCGTTTCTACTAAAAATACAAAAAAATTAGCCGGGCGTGGTGGTGGGCGCCTGTAGTCCCAGCTACTCGGGAGGCTGAGGCAGGAGAATGGCGTGAACCCGGGAGGCGGAGATGGCAGTGAGCCGAGATGGCGCCACTGCACTCCAGCCTGGGAGACAGAGCAAGACTCCATCTCGAAAAAAAAAAAAAAAGAGAAGATCTTTGGAGTTAACTTTTCTTTTCTTTTTTGAGATGAGGTCTTGCTCTGTCACCCAGTCTGGAGTGCAGTGGTACAATCTCGACTCACTGCAACCTCTGCCTCTGGGGTTCAGGCGATTCTCCTGCCTCAGCCTCCCACATAGCTGGGATTACAGGCCCCCGCCACCACGCCTGGCTAATTTTTGTATTTTTAAGTAGAGATGAAGTTTCACCACTTTGGCCAGGCTGGTCTTGAACTGCTGACTTCAAGTGATCCACCCGCCTCAGCCTCCCAAAATGTTGGGATAACAGGCGTGCGCCACCACACCTGGCCTAGAATCTTGATTGTCTCACTTCAGTTGGATTTGAATCCTATCTCAACCATCATCTAGAAGTATAGTCTTGAGCAAAATGTGCAACTTCTCTATATTTTCCTGATACAGATATGAGAAGAAGTCTACATAATATTATATGTATAGAGAGAATAACATGCATAGGTATGTTAGTTGTTCATTAATTTTAGTAATAAAATCATGGATTTTGATTATGACACTAAAAAATAAAACAGCTCTTGTCACAGTTTCTAAGAAGAAAATGTTTTCATGTGCCATGGCAGCCAAAAGAATAAACACACACACAAAAGAAAACAAAACATTAAACATCACTAGAAAGTACATTTCAAATGGAAATGGAAACAGCCAATCATAGCACAAAAATAACATGCTTCTCATTATAAATATGTGAGTATGCTAGGAAGTTTTTGTTAACAAGCAGCAAAAACTTCAAAGAGATGGAAAATGTTTAGCAACCAAAATTTAAAGACATAAATAGACTTCGGAGAGGGAATAAAGGTTTACAATGTTATTTAATCTAGAAATATGAATATTGACCAGAGATATGGTCAAAATAAACACCACAGTAAAGATAAGTGGGTTTAATTTACTTGGATTTTTCACATACAGAATTTATTTTAAGCTATTGGCAAATTTAAAGATAAATATTTTCCAGTATTTCCTCCATTTATACTTGGAATAAACAAATCTTTCGATAAATATTATTTCTTTCTCTAAATATTAAATTTATTTTTTAACAATTCTTATATAATGCTATCCTGAAAGACAGATTGTAGACAGGAACTATGAGATTTCTTTAGAGATGTAGTACTGTTTTATTGTACCATAATATCTTGACAGGAGCAGTTGATATTTTCTGAGTTCCTCTTAACCTCCTTGAGAAGAGGTTATGTGTACTGGAGAAAGAAATAAAAACCACCTAAACTCTGATTATGAGTACACAATTACCTAACCTAAATTAAAGAAGATAAATTCTTCATGGTATGTTAAATGCTCTAAATCAGCTGTCTTAGAAGAGTTGTATGCATAAACCTAGTCTATGTAAAGACTTTCCATGCATCTAGTCTACATAAAAACAAACTTCCAGATTTTCAACATCCATGTTCTTAAACTCCCACATGTACTATCTTGAGTTGATGCTGCTGAGAATAAAATTTCAATTGAGGTACAAGATCTTCATTTCCATTTCCCTTTCAAGATAGTTCTGTGCCCATCACAAAGATACTGACACATTAATGCAGGGTAAAAAAGTTTCTGAGAAGCCAAAAAGTGGTATAAAGAGGTTTATGCTGGTGTTGAGAGAGGAAATAAATAATGACAGGCAAAGAATCTTTTTGTAAGTCGGGTAGTTTCCAGTTGTTTGCTTTGCACAAAATCAAAAAACCTAACTGGTAGTGATGGATTATCAAAATTATTTTTAATAATCCACATAGTTTGGAATAGTAAATAGGAAAAACTTCAAATAATTATGCCAAATTCTAATAAGAAAACTTTTTCTATTCCTATCTAGTTAATTATGTATCAAAGTTTCTGAATATGTACATCTAAGGGAAGAAAAAGAACATAATTAGAACATCATTTGAACACTGTCTAAATCTAGCAAGAAGTCATACTTAGATACATAAATTAGTTTTTTTAAACAACATCCATCTCATTAAGAGATGTACTACCAAAATTTTTATTTTTACATTTCCTTAGTTTTAAGAATTTTAATGTATTTTGGTAGTTTTTATGAAAGGTGTACCAATTAATTATAACGAAAACTCAGTTCAGAGAAGAATAGTATTCAGATTTGTAATCACAGGAAACCTGAAAATACTACATTTCAATCATACATATGCACGTACATGCTTTCTTATTGCATAGAAGTATGATAGGATTATCAATAGAAGACATTCAAAAATAAATGCTTTTTTTGTTTGTTTGTTTGAGATAGAGTCTTGCTCTGTCACCCAGGCTGGAGTGCAGTGGTGCAATCTCGGCTCACTGCAAGCTCTGCCTCCCGGATTCACACCATTCTCCTGCCTCAGCCTCCCGAGTAGCTGGGACTACAGGTGCCCACCACCACGCCCGGCTAATTTTTTATATTTTTAGTAGAGACGGGGTTTCACCATGTTAGCCAGGATGTATATATTTTTAAAATAGATGATGATGCATATCAAGTTCCTATAGCATTTAAATTCTCTAAGCAACATTTCAGAAGATGAAGTTAACAGTTTTAATTTTGTTGCAATCATTTACAATATGCTGAAATTTTTTTTAAGTTGCTATATTTAAATTTACATTCTACCTTTAAAATGATCAGCTAAATGTGTAAAGTAATCCATAGTTTTATGAAATTCCTTTAGGGGTGAATGAATAAAAGTTTGAAGTTCAGTGCTCTAGTCTAAACCATAGACAACAGAAGATGCTGCGCTGAGACTGGGCTGATTTTAAAACCTCATGGTGATCACTACCTACTGTACAAGGAGGAGGAAAAAACATTTTTAGTTCAGTGACTACGTCTGGTCACTGTTAACTCACCACACAAGATTTATGATTTCGAATGATTAATCAGCAGTGACCATGATTTGTTTTTAAAGAATTTCTCTTTGAAATGTACCTTGATCTTGATATATCACTTTAAGTTGATCTATACAGGAAAACCTGGCACCAAAAGCTGCAACTGCTTTGAGGGGAGCTTTATGTGATTATTAGATTTCAAAGCCACTAAGCTTTTGCTAATCTTCCACATAAGAGATCTAAACATGATTGTTTATGAAAACTTCCCTCTTCCTGTAAAGTTTCCTCCCTACTCACCTTCCATTTTCTCTAATACCATCTAAATAGCATGCATTGATTTTCTTTGTTTCAGAAGTTTTTAGCAATCTGACATCCATTTATTTGAAGCAATTCACATACCTACAACGTGAAAGACTGGGTAGTAACCTGCTAAGCATGCAGGCATGAGAAAGCACATCTCCTCTAAACATTTAAAAGTCAGAATTTCTACGAAAGTCACAAGTCTTCAATAAATTTTTCCATAGCATTTGACTATTTCTAGAGCACAGTAAGAAGCATGATACTTTCCTTTTTAAAGCACTGACATTTATTACTTTGCACAAACTGAATGTTTGAGATCCAGAAGACCACTGCAGATACAGTAGAAAAATCAATTGCTTTTCTTATTGCTTTAATAAAAGCTGTAGAAATTCTTTATACTTAACATGTGTACAACTAAAGAGAATGTGTGTGTGTGTGTGTGTGTGTGTGTGTGTAAATGAGAGCTCCAGCTGCCCTTAGCTTGAAGGAATCTCCATGTCATCAGCAGACAGGAATTATATTTCATTCACCCTTTTGCCATGGTAAAGGAGTCAACAAGATCCAGATGGTTGTTCTGCGTGTTAAAGCGAGTCTGCTTTGTAATCGTTGTCTGAGATCCAAGCCCTTGCTTTATAGTGCTTAAATAATTGATTTCACCCAGTCTTCAGTCAGAGCTAGAAAACTCCAAATATGTTCCCATTAATCCTCAGAGTAAGGAACTGCTGATGGTGCTCAGTAGTTTCAAAATTCATGGCTTCATGGGAAATCATACCATTTACAAAGAAATCCATTTTGGCTGGGAAAGAAAATAAAAACCTCATGCTGATGATTTCATAATGTGTCAATCCAGAGTTGCAGATTGACATAGTAAAACAGGAATACTATTAAAGTTATCAAAGATGCAGGTTTATGCTGTTCTATCATTTAGTAAGTTATTATACAGATACGCTGTTGTTATTTTTTAAATAAGTGAGTTTACAAAAAATAAGGGTTCAGTGGAAATATATGAAATAATTCACATGCTATAAAACATTAGGACAACTAATCCCGAAGGTCAAAAACTCTCTAATGAAGAGCTCGGGGGTGAAGACATTCTGAATATTTAGCCACCAAAAGAAGAAGTTTAATGAAAATATATTCCTAGTAGGAATGCATTCAGAATGTTCTGTCTGAATCCAAACTTTATTCATTGTTGGAATTAAAGGTAAGTACATGTTTATTCGTAATGATATTGCAAACTCATTTTTATTGTTCACATTTGATTGAGATTCTGAAAAAATATATGAAGCAGACTAGAAACTAAAGTACAATATGATATAAATCACCTACAAATAAATATAACAAAGTTTCCTGAAGAAAATTGGAGTAACCGCTCTAGACATCTGAATTGAGTAGATTACCATACTCAAGCAATACATTTGGCTGTAAGGTTTTTGAACAAGAAGGCAAAGGATGGGAAACATATTGGGCTGCACCATTTTCACATTTTAGCACCAGGAAGTATAAAATTTCATCTAATGTCACTACTTTCCCTAGAAGGAAAGCTGTGTTCCTATACAGTAGCTGTCAATGTGGACATAGCGTACATTTAGATATGTGTAGCAAATATAAAGCTGGTGATGCTGGTGTCCAATTGTCAGATATAGCAATCTCTGGAGAATACAGAATGGTTACTAATTTACTTCCAATTACTGGTAAACTATATTTTAATGCTTACAAGCAGCAATAAGCTCATCAATGTAACATTATAGAACAAGGAATTTGCTCATTTTTTAAAAAAGAAGTTACTTTGCTAAATTTAAGAAAAATGGAATTTTAAAAATAGTTTCATGTTTCTAAATGTGCCTCAGAAGTTTTGATAAGCACAAATATCAGGAAAGTTACCATGACAGGTTTTCAGAAACAGACATTTTTAATACTATCGTTCCTAGTGATAGCTCTGATCTATGTGTCACCTACAAAACTGTGTGAGGTGATAAGCTTTAATATGTGCATTATAATGTTTACAAATAATGAGAAACACTTTCACATATCTTATTGAAGTTCTTCTTTATCAACCACAGGGTAGTTCTCTCCAGAATGATGGAGGTGATTCAATTACCCTTTGTAGTTGTGGCAGAACAAGAGTTAGTAGAAAAGTTATCCTCAATATTGCCAGGCACGGTGGCTCACGCCTGCAATCCTAGCACTTTGGGAGGCCGAGACGGGCAGATCACCTGAGGTCAGGAGTTAGAGACCAGCCTGGCCAACATGGTGAAACCCCGTCTCTACTAACAATACAAAAATTAGACCAGCGTGGTAGTGTGTGCCTGTAATCCCAGCTACCAGGAGGCTGAGGCAGGAGAATTGCTGGAACCCAGGAGGCAGAGGCAGCAGTGAGCTGAGATCATGCCACTGCACTCAAGCTTGGGTGACAGGGCGAGACTCCATCAAAAAAAGAAAAAAAAAGAAAAGAAAAGTTATCTTCATATGGATTTCAAATGATAAATCTTTGTGTCCCTTTATGGAGTAAATAATATGATTGGTTCACTGACTTGCTTTTTCTTTTTTTTTTTACAATTTTTCTTTAACTTATCAAGAAAAAGATTATGATCTGGATTTCAGTTAATGGAATTTTTACATGGAAAGATTTATGTAATGGAAGATAAGAAATACGTGTCTATTTTTAGCAGCACTTTGGTGTGAAAAGTCAGAAGCAAATTACTCTATTTTTAAAATATTTCCATGTACAAAGGAATATACATTTTTGGAAGATGTCAAGCAGTTTCATTGATTTTCCTGGGGCAGTGATTGTTTGTTTCTAAGAAGGAGGCCCTTTGAAAGGTGCAGCTTCTATAGCAGGACTGAAGGGCACAGGGAATGTCTCTAAACAACCGTCCCATTCATATGTTTCTGAGTCCTCTGGCAGCCACCATAACTGTGTCATGATGTGACTACATAATTCTTTAAAGGAAATGAGGGCATACAAGTTTCCCTGAGATGGAAGACAAAAAACAAACAAACAAAAAAACCTGGCACTGCAGCATCACATTTTCAAGCTTTAAAAAAAATGTGTTGTAGTCTATTAAATAAAAATTTATATTTTTTTTGCCTGGCAAGGTGGGTCACGCCTGTAATCCCAGCACTTTGGGAGGCAGGTGGATCACTTGAGGCCAGGAGTTCGAGACCAGCCTGGTCATTATGGCAAAACCCCGTCTCTACTAAAAATACAAAAATTAGCTGGACATGGTGACACACACCTGTAATTCCAGCTATTCAGGAGGTTGAGGCACAATAATCGCTTGAACCCAGGAGGCAGAGGTTGCAATGAGCCAAGATTGTGTCACCGCACTCCAGTCTGGGTGACAGACTGAGACTCTGTCTAAAAAAAAAAAAAAAAGTTTACTTTTTGAAAAAAATTACAGGGACTGTCATGTTGCTGCAAATCATTGGCAAAACAACAGAGTAATGTGAATTCATTCATTCAAACGCTATCTTTTGAGCACTAACTAATAGTGTGCCAGACACCACTGAAGACATTTGGGAGGTAACATGGAACAAGACTGACAAACTCCTCACAGGGCTTATTTTCTAGGACTGAGACACAATAAACAAGCGTGCATAACATATATTATGTTAGATTGTGTTGAGTGCTAACAGAAGGGATCAAGCAGGAAAGCAGGTGGGAAGCATTACAATTTCAGATGAGGTGCTCAAGAAAGATCTCTCTGGAAAGGCGGCAATGGAGTTCACAGAGAGTTGGCCTCTCTTATTTCAGGATCATCAGGCAGACCAATGAGGAAATGAAGAGTGATTGAAAGAGTCAGTTTCTTTTATTTAATATTTAGAATCATTAAATCCTTATTTAAAAGGTAGAGGAAAAACAATTTTATTTTTAAATAATTGCTGATGAGGTGGCAACCCTTTTTAGTGGTAGGAAATGCTATGTGTCTGAAAGCAACCCTTCACCTAGAAAACTGAAAACAAAGGTAGCTGTTATTTCATATTTTCTTCTCTCTTATACCTCAATAGATTTCTCAAAAAAATGGGGGTCAGGGGGAACTTGAATATTCCAGTACTTAGAGTGGTGTGGTTTCTGTTTTGTTTTTAATGAAAAGCACCATTTCCACAAACTTTGAAAACCAATTTAAAGAATGAAACAAAAATTCAAAAATATTTCATTTATTAAAGCTGCAGACATGGAGATAGACTTCACTCACACTAGTAAGATTAAATGTGGTTCACTTCAGTCTTGACAATGTGCATTTGTTTAATGAGCAAAGTGTCAAGAAACTTCACAAAATATACAAAATCCAAAGATCGTTTCGTCATAAACAGACAAGTTGCTACATCCCAATGACACTGGACATCAGTACGTTTTAACAAGGAAGCATTTGCTTCTCTTCTCACTACTATTTCATCCATCCCAACCTACTCAATAAAACAAGACAATCCCAGCACTTTGGGAGGCTGAGGCGGGTGGATCATGATGTCAGGTTTTCAAAACCAGCCTGACCAAGATGGTGAAACCCCATCTCTACTAAAAATATAAAAATTAGGTGGGCGCGGTGCCAGGCACCTATAATCCCAGCTACTTGGAAGGCTGAGGCAGAAGAATTGCTTCAACCTGGGAGGCAGAGCTTGCAATGAACTGAGTTCATGCCACTGCACTCCAGCCTGGGCAAAAGAGTGAGACTCTGTCAAAAAAAAAAAAAAAAAAAAAAAAAAAAAACTAAGACAACCCCTAAATTTATTCGTTGCAAATGCATGGGTTAAAAAATAAAGTAGCACCTAAAAGTCACATGAAGAAAGAAGAAAATAAGTAAATTTAACAATAATCAGCATGCATTAAACCACAGAGTAAAAAGAATGAGGGATAAACAGAAAATGTGTAAGAAAAATTAAGCCAGGAACTCATTATTATTGTGTGCAATGATCCCCATTAGGCCCTTCCTCATGATGAAATAAGAGTTCTGAGCCATAAACATCGCAAATACTAAGAGATGCAAAATGTAAAATTAATGGACTGAAAGATTCTTCTCATTTTTGTTACTAATGTAATATTTTCAAATATATGGCCCACGCTTTCTTTTTTTTTAATGCCTATTTTCTTTCCCTGTTTATAAAATAGCATGTGTTTCTGGTAGCATAATCTTTGGGACAGAAATCAATATACAGTCATTTTTGTTTTAAACTAAAAGATAGTTTAACAGATGTTAAATAGCTCTGACAGCATTTCTTTAAAAGTTCAAACATGAGAATATCATTTTGCACCTAATTTAAGAGGCCACAGAGGAATCAGAATCTTCTATCTCCAAATATTAATATATTTATTGCAGTTCTTGGAGATACTTTAGGTTCCATGCTGAGTACCTGCAATCCAGTGCTTTCAACCTAAGCTTGCTGTCTCCAAAACTGTTCATAAAAGAAAAATTGGATTGGTAAAATTATATTACAGGTGTTTTATTATTCCATACTATATTCAGTAAGGAGACAGTTCAACCTTCAAATCAATACTGCTCAGAACAATCAAATTATAAAATATCATCTTGATGTTGGATAGCTCAAAATATGCTGTTATTTAATTCATTTAAAAGGCTTTCCAGATGTGATTTTTCTTCTAAATTGCTGTCAAAGTAGTTATAAAATATTTTCTTTGAATAAGGCTAGCATGTAACAATACCTCAGTACAAAAGATTTGATTTGTTATATCTAATTACATTGAAAGTATTTTGTAACTAATTTTGGTTCCACTGAAGATTTTTATACCAAAAGAAAACGGTGGATTGAAAAAAAATATTAGCTATATTGTGGTTGCATCTTAGATTGTCAAGAATGATATTCTTGGCTGGGCATGGTGGTGCAGGCATGTAATCCCTCCACTTCGGGAAGCTGTGGCTGGCGGATCTTTTGAGCTCAGGAGTTCAAGATCAGCATGGTGAAATCCCTTCTCTACAGAAAATACAAAAAATTAGCTGGGCACAGTGACATGCACCTGTAGTCCTAGGTACTTGGAAGGCTGAGGCAGGAGGATCCCTTGAGCCCAGGAAATCAAGGTTGCAGCGAGCCGTGATTGCACTACTGCACTCCAGCCTGGGGGGCAGAGCAAGATCATGTCTCAAAAAATTTAAAAAGAAAGACATTCTTAACACAAAATTCTCTTCTATGCCCCTCTCATTAGTGCCCTTTTTACTATGTACATTTTCCAATTTCATTTCTGAGACACTATTGGGTCTGGGATTTTCCCCTAGTAAACTTGTCAATGTTTCATGGATACTGGCAGAAGAAACAAGTCTCCTGGGTCAGAGACAAGCAAGTAGCACAGCAAGCAGCATGAGCATCAAGTCTGCACTGATTCCCCTACCCACCAGGTTCCACAAGGGAGGCACAACAGGCCAGGAGGATACCAAGCATGCAGTGGGTTTGCATCATCACAACTGACAAATGGGAGCTTGGGAAATCTACTGCTTTTTGAGTAAGCACAAAGCAAGCCTGAAGGACAAATGCAATCCTAAGAAATGCTTCAGGTTAAGAAGACAGGTCAAGGTCTTGCATTTTTGGCATACCCAGCAAGTATGTACAAGGACGCATGGGGCTGAAAGAAGATTGCCTTGCCCAACTGATGCTTGAGAAAATTTTGGTTTAAAGAATTTTCTGATCAAAATTGATTTCTATTCATAACAAGAAAATCTATTTATTCTCTCTCTCTTTCTCTGTCTCTCTCTCACAAATATGCATGCACACACACGCGCGCACACACACACACGCCTTTTACATTGTCTTAAACTGATACTGAAACCTTAAATAGTAACCCCCCCACACCACCTGTTCCCATGTCAACCAGAAACTCTGTGGTGATAAAAGTAAAGATGGCTTTTTACACTTATTCATTTCTCTGCTTATAAATAAAATGCTATGTGGACTAGGTATTTTTGTAATGTTGCCAGCTGTTCTTTAGGACTGAATTGAGGTCACTTCATTCTCCATAAGATATCAAAAACACAAATAGCTATAAATTTTCATCATTATGAATATAAAACATAGTTTTCAATGATGAAAGCTGATACAGTTTAAAACAAAACACTGGTTGTTCCTTATTCATACAATTCTAAAAATACTTTTACAAATTAAAAATAAAGTCCTGAATTATTTTACCATAGTATATATGTACACATTTTTACATTTATTATATCATAAAATGAACATTTTCCTGTGAACTTTGGGCTAAAATATATATATTTTGGTTCTTGATTTTATATGCCAGCTAGGTTCTTAGGATTACTGGTTTGTACTTTTAAGAATAACATGTGAAAAAATAACAGTGAATTTAGTCTGACCTAAGCAGGAAACAACATTTTGTTTCAGATACCTTATTTTCAGCTTATTAACCCATATTTTTTGTTTTGCACATATCTCTCTGCAGCTCCACTTGCCTTTAAAGTGTATTAGAAAAATGGGATTTATAAAGTGTATGAGAGAGAATAAAATTGTATGTTAAATGCTAATTTTTAACTTCAATACATGCATGTCTACCACAAGCTTTAGAGCCTGAATAACATTTAACTAAACATAAGTGTAGCCAAGCATTTCAAAAATTATAACTGTAGCTATTATAGAAAAGTTCTGGAAAATAACCCAGATAAATGTACCCATTAACGTATATTATTCAAAAATGTTCTTTAATCCTAAGAAAGTATAGATCATTTTGTTAAAGTGAGAAGCAAAATCAGAGTTAAAGAAAATATTTTCTATAACTTTACCCTAACCATCACTTTATGAAGTATAGTGTTAATTTCACTAGACTGGGGGAAGTACAAAATAACACCATCTTTTAAGTAGTATTACCTCTTTTCTTTGTTTACTGAGGGTTGCTCTCAACTTACTCAGAACACATTAGTTATGCCACTGTGTGTTGAGGCTAGAGAGAAAAAAAGACAAACAAGATCTCTGCCTTCAAGGAGTTCACATTTCAGGGATAGAAATAAACTCATAAACCAGTTATGATGTAGAAGGTGATAAGACACCTGTAAAGTGTTATTAGCAGCCACTATGTACAATTCACTCCGTGGACTTGACCTCCACACTACTTTTAAAGCAAACACCATTTAAAGGTACATTAAATTTTCCAGAATATTCAACTCCAATTAAGTTGGCTTAGTCTATGCTTTTCTTTATACTCATAGTTGTACACCAGCAAGCCACAGCTTTTTTAGAAGTATGTTGTAAGAAGTCAATGGTGACCCCAAAAAAAGCAAAGTCAAAACTGTTACAGTCCTAAGGGTTTAATGTATAATGTGTAACTTTAACGTTCTGATGTGTGATTCTTAAAACAGTAAGAGAGATTGATAATAGCTGATAACAATATTAGCTACAGTTCATTGAGTCTTTATCCTGTGTTTGCACTATGCTAGTCCTTTTACCTGTTTTTTCTCACTTATTCCTTAAAGCACTGCTATGGAAATAGATACAACTGGGACTCATATTTAGAAACGATCCTAGGCTAAAAGAAATCAAGTAACAAGCCTCCAAATTTACAGTAATCCTGAGGAGCAGGATTCAAACCGAGGCTTCTCTTTCTGAGCTCAGAGATTTGTTCACACAGTCCACTAAATGGATATCTTTTTCTAAATGTGCCAAATGTTATTCCTAGGCATGCTGTCTTTTTCAAGTTTGATAATTCACAGTCACTGGGAGGGGGAAAAGTGTTGCCTGTGCTCTTTAGAGTCAAAAGTTGCCTTTCAGGAAGAATATGCTTTTCATCTACATGAGTTTGCCAGGACTACCTTAATAAACTGTCAGGAACTTGGTACCGTGAAGAGCAGAAATTTATTGTCTCAACATTCTGGTGGCTACAAATCCAAGATTGATGTGTCAGCAGGATTGTTTCCTCTTGAGGGCTGTGAGGGACAATCTGCTCTGTACCTGTCTCCTGGCTTCGGGTGATTTGATGGCAATCTTTGGTTTTCCTTGGCTTGTAAATTCCTGCCTTCATCTTCACATAGCATTCTTCCTCTATGCATATCAGTGTCCAAATTTCCCTTTATAATAAGGGCGCAGTCATATTGGATTGGGGCCCACCCTCCTGTATTATAGCCTCATTTTTACTGACTACACCTGTAATTACCCTGTTTCCAAATAACATCACATTCTTAGGTACTGGGGGCTACAATTCAGTGAGTCAATTCGGGGAGATGCAATTCAACCCACAACACATACAAAGTAAAGTAAGTGCTTACCCCCCAAAATAAATCTACTATAAACAGTTCAGCTTCAAATTTAGCACCACTATTCATCCTGAACGTTTTCTCTGTTTGATTCAAGGGGCCATAGATTTCAAACTCAAAAACATAAAGGTGAACAGAGACAGGCAGGAAGCAGTGCAGTGTAACTGTAAAACATAGATTATCTGAGTACCGTGAACTGAGGTCAAGCAGGAAAATGCATGTCCCATCCCACTCAGCTCTAACAAATTGATGCCATACAGAGAATTCTTCAGGGCCATGTGGAAATCTAGATTTGTATGTGTAATAACCCATTACTAAATATGCAAATATGCATTCATACTAAACCTGCACATGCGCGCTTGTGCGCGCGCACACACACAGACACACATTGTATGAGCCACTACTTCAATCAGCAGAATCTCGCCAAAGTTTAATGCCAGTGGCCCTGTGCCCATCTTCAGTCTGAGGTTTTCTTCAGCCGGCAGTCCACCATGCACCATTGTTACCAGAGATCTATTCTTCTTTGTAAGCTCTTTCTTAACAATCTTACAGCTTCAATATTATCTCCAAAAAAATAACTATTACATCTTCCGCTTTTATGCTGGCTTGTGTCCTGTGCTTCAGTCCTGCATTTCCCAACCACAGGCTAGTTGTAATTTCAAACTCAGTTTACTCCAAATGAACTAATTATCGTCCATACTCCTCAGCATTTCCTGTGTCTATTTAGGCACATCATCACGCTCCACATCACCCAGGTTGGAAAATTACGAGAATTCTTTGACTCCCCTCTTGTAGCTTCTGTGTCTAACAACTTGATGAATTTTCTCCAGGGCCCTTTTAAAGGGTCAGAGAGTTAAATAATGTTCCCACAGGTAATCTTTTATGTGATTGGGAGTGTAAATTTGTCCTGCTCCTCTAAGCAGCCAGCAACCTGGAGAGGAAATTAATTTGCCAACCGATCTTCACACAGTGTTTTCTCAATATGTGTACACAACTGCAGTGGGCAATAGGGTAGAACTCTGCAAGCCAATAACATATGCTGTAGTGTGCAAGAAACCAGTGATTTAAATGTTCAGTCTCAACTTTAAACCCTTTAAAATACTTCCCAAAAAGTTGTCTAAAAATAGCATGGACATGCACAGAAGTACCAGCCAACCAATAAACAAACAAAACTAAAGTGCACACACAGAGAAATAGAAAA
This sequence comes from Homo sapiens, assembly GCF_000001405.40. Classification (NCBI taxonomy): domain Eukaryota; kingdom Metazoa; phylum Chordata; class Mammalia; order Primates; family Hominidae; genus Homo; species Homo sapiens. Next base: position 156,696,172 of record NC_000004.12, read on the forward strand.
TATTTTGACCAAAAATATATATATCTTAAAAAAATATATATCTAAAACACTGCTTCTGCCTCCTCCAGTGGAAATTGAGTGCTAAGGGATTTTATTCATGCATATAATTTATTTGAATAAAAATTGGTTCCTTTCCAAATCCTCTAAATATTGAATAAATACTCAGTGTTATTTCAATAGGAATAAAATTATTCACATTTCAGGCCACTGACAATTCTTCTTTTAATAATTCTGCACCATTTCCTCAGCACAGCTCTCATCACGTTTATCATTTGTTCTTAGCTGAAATAGTCACACTACTCTTTACACTGTCAATGTGAGCATTTTTTGGTGTTCTTTAGGCCACTTTTTTAATATAGAAAAAATATACAAAAATTAGCTTGTATTTTAAATTAATATTTAACTCATTAAAATGACAAACAATTCAAGAATAAAGTTCCTCTGGAAGTTTTAAATCCAACTTGTAAATATTATTTCATTTTATAGGGATTTTTAACCTTTGATCAATTAAATGCCCTAAGTTATTTCAACATGCATTTATGAAATCAACCTAGTCCATTTTCTTACAATTACAATATTGCAATTGTCTGTCATAATTAACAAAACATTTCCACACACTTAAAAATGTCTTATAAATCTACTAATTAAATTTATAAATATGTTATTTTTAAGCCCTCTTAAATGTGTTGATGTTAGTTGTAAAATTATTATTATTATTATTATTATTATTATTATTATTATTATTTGATATGGAGTCTCACTGTGTCACCCAGGCTGGAGTGTAATGGAGCGATCTCGGCTCACTGCAACCTCCACCTTCTGGGTCCAAGTGATTCTCCTGCCTCATTCTCCCGAGTAGCTGGGATTACAGGTGCACACCACCACACCTGGCTAATTTTTGTATTTTTAGTTGAGGCAGGGTTTCACCATGTTGGCCAGGCTGGTCTCAAACTCCTTACCTCAGGTGATCCTCCCACCTCGGCCAAAGTGCTGAGATTACAGGGGTCAACCACCACTCCTGGCCTGTAAGGTTATTTTTAACTTAAATAAAAAACCTAAATGAATTATTAAATTGCAAGTTTTAAGTGGATAAATGACATCCTAATGTGCATCACAAGCATTTATGATATCTAAAATACAAAAATTATTTCTAAACCTAACACAAAAATGTAAATATCAGAGTGTTACTTTCTGTATTGCTATACCTAATTCCCAATCTTTCCAGGGTTAAAAGTATTTGACTATTAAGGAAAAAGTGTCTACCCACACTGGGGTTGCCTGTTCATAATCCAGAAATTGCAGCCTGCTGAAAAATGTGTATTTTAGACACTCAAGCTATTCTCGTGACTTCGTAGGATAAACTTATGCTGTTCTAAAACATATTCTTAAATTAACTATTCTTGTAGCATTTTTTTCATATAAATGTGATTAACAACAAAATTACTATTTCAAATGGCAAATTTGGTCCAAAGAATATATTGAAAACAGGGAATAAAAAACTTTGATATTTCCTGAGGACTAGGAGGCTTGGGAGGGTTTTGGGGACAGGAAAATGAAGTGACACCTGGCTACTCTCCAGAAAAGAGAAACGGGGGCCCTGTGGGTCTGCGAGGAGGAAAGTCCTTGAACGTCCCTATAGAAAGCCCACATCTAGTCAATGGTAGTAAGCAAACACTGAAGGTAAAATATTTGTAAAAGAGAGTCATTGTTTTAACAGAATTTCTTAAAAATGATTTCAGGACAAAACTTACTAAAGTGTATTTTATTTTATTCAATTAAAAATTTTAAAGTTCAGAGATATAATTGTGTCAGAATGGGAAGATTAAAATGCCTTTGCTTTATACTTCCATGCTTGTAAAATTCTAAGTGTGTTTGATTTAAAAATGTAGAAATTTTAAGATATCTTTCTTTAAAGATATTTGTAAAAGTAAGTAAAGATTATCTTTAAAAGCATTCAAATGTTTTAAAATTTAAAATATTTTGCTAGAATAAATAACCAAGAAATAGTGTGTGGCTAGAAGACTTATGCATTCAGTCTTTAAATTTTTGTTAAGATCCAGTGCTTACCATGTTTTCCACTCCAAAAAAAAAAGACTGCAAAGTATAAAATCCGGATCATTTTAAATTTTTAATCAGGTAGGTTTCTTTTCAAAAAAATAAAATAAAATTAGGAAAAAACAAAGTAATTTTAGGAGACCAAGGTGGGAGGGTTTCTTGAGGCCAGAAGTTCAAGACCAGAATGGGCAGTATAGCAAGACCCTATCCTTACGCAAAAATCTTTTTAAATTGGCAGTCATAGGGGGATATGCCTGTAGTCTCAGCTACTTGGGAGGTTGAGGCAGGAGGATCCCTTGATCCAAGGAGTTTGAGGCTGTAGTGAGGTATGATATCACCACTGCACTCCAGCCTCGATGACAGAACAAAACCTCACCTCTTAAAAAAATTGTATAAAATAAGAAAAAAGTGGATGAACATTTCACCATCTTAATTTTCAAAGATTTTGAAGTCAGTGAAAAATTCTCATTTTAAGTGTCTTTAAATTAATTTAATAATGAAGTGGAAAATACAGAGTAGAAACAATTTGATTTAAACAGATACAATTTTATAAAAATAAAATTTTAATAAAAATAAAATTAAAACAAAACCCATCGGTGAGAGTGTAAATTAGTATAGCCATTCTAGAAAACAGTAGGGAGATTCCTCAAAAAACTAAAAGTAGAACTACCATATCATCCAGCAGCAATCTCACTCTAGGATATATGTTCTAAAGAAAAGAGGTCAATATAGAGAACAGATATTTGCATTCCCATGTTCATTACAGGATGATTCACAATAGCCAAAATATGGTATCAGTCTAAGTGTTCATCAATGGATGAATAGATAAAAAAAATGTGGTATATATACACAATGGAATATTATTAAGCCATAAAAAGAATAAAATTCTGTCATTTACAACAATACGGATGGGACTGGAGGTCATTATGTTAAATGAATTAAGCCAGGAACGGAAAAACAAATATTGCGTGTTCTCACTCATAGGTAGGAGTTTAAAAAGTGGATCTTGTGGAGCTAGAGAGTAGAACGGTGGTTACAAGAGGCTGGGAAGGGAAACAGAGAGGGAGGGATGAAGAGAAGTTGGTTAAGGGGTACAAAAATACATTTAGATAGAAGGAATAAGTTTAAATATTCTATAGCACAGTAGGGAAATTATAGTTAATAATTTGTTATGTATATCAAAACAGCCAGAAAGGAAGATTTGTAGTTTTCCCAACACAGGAAAAAAATAAGTGTTTGATGTGACAAATATCCCACTTACCCTGATTTGATCATTGCACATTGTATATAGGCATCAGCATATTACATGTACCCCAAATATATGTACAACTATTATATATAAATACAAATAAATAAGTAAATAAAAAAGCTATGTACTCTATCAGCCCTGAAATTAGGAAATGGTTTTAACTGTATCACATTAGATGAATTCAGTCGTTTGTGCAATAGCTCATTGTAGAAGCAAGCAAATATAATTATTGCTTATTTTGCCAATTAAATAATTTGGAAGTCCTCAATTAAAATACAAAATGTCAGAAATTTTATTATATTTCACCAACTCATACTATTTTAAATATTTTAGATTCTATCAGAAAGAGTACATTTGAAAATTAAATTATGGGCTGGGGAAAAGTGTCAATTTTGCCTAAAGAAAACTAGCAATGTTAATGGTGATTTAAAAAAAAAAATTTTAATTATACTCTACAGTATTGTTAATTACAGTCACCATGCTATACATCAGATGTCCAGAACTTGAAATTTGCTAAGACAGTAAATCGTAAGTGTTTTCACCAGAAAACCAAAGAAAAAGAAAAAGAAAGAAAATGGTAGCTATGTGAGATAATGAATATGTTAATTAACTTGATTACAGTGATGATTTCACAATGTGTACATATCTCAAAATATCAAGTTATATACCTTATATAAGTACAATTTTTATTTGTAAATTATATCTCAGTAAAGCTGAAAAAAATAAATAAAATTAAAAAAAAATGACCTTGAGAAAATTCACACAGAAAGGGATTTATTGCAAGGATAATGTAAACAGAGTGAAAAAAATTTCTCACCTGGAAAATAACAGAGGCAAAAGGATCTGTTTACAGTCATGTGTTGCTTGATGAAGAAGATATCTTGTGAGAAATGTGCCCTTAGCCGATTTTATCTTTGTGCAAACATCATAAGGTACACTTACACAAATCTAGATGGTGTAGCCTACTGTGCACCTCCATTGTAGGGTGCAGCCTACTACTCTGAGGCCACAAACCTATGCAGCATGTTACTGTGGGCAGTTGTAACACAACGATAAATGTGTGTGTATCTAAACATAGAAAGGTACAGTAAAAATACAGCGTTATAATCTTATGGGATCACCTTCGTATACGTGGCCAATAGTTGACTGAAACGTTGCTACGTGGCGTGTGGCTGTATTCACAATTTTTACAACTGAACCTCATCCTACACATAGTGAAAAGCACCAAGAAATAGTTTAGGATCGTCTCAAATTTAAGAGTATTTCATGGTTCAAGACCCAGGCAAATCTGTAACAACTGGAATGAGACAAACATCACTCCTTTTTTGTATGATCTCAGAGAATTCCACGTGTATTTATTGCTAGTTGAGGCTGAAGAGATAAACCAGATAGCGTGTCCTTCCTTGCCTTACTTTGTTTTTAAAAAGCCTTGGGTAAGCCTAACAGTAATAGTGTTTGGTGAAACACATACCATATTAATTTCAATAATTTCCTTCTAAGTCTTTAAGTAAGGGCAGTAAAAATTATAATAGTAATACCTGTAAAATGAAAACTCCCACAGCTAATGGTTTTAACCTCGGAGAAAACTATGGTCAATGAAACTCAGTAAGCCTGATTGTGGTATATTGTTTTAAAATAGGCACATGGATTCATATTACTCAACATTTGAGTATGGCAGTTACTAAAATACTAACAGTAATGGTTACGTAGTTAAAATATATTCATATGCCACTTTAAACTTATGATATATTATTTATATACATTTATAAAAATGTAGAATATATAATTAACATACATTTTTAAACTTTAAATCAATTATGACCAGTTTCATTCTTTCCAGAGAAAATTCTACACAGCTTATCCTATAAATGCTCAGCAGCTGTCTTCCACAATATTCTCAAATGCCCTAACAGAAGAGACTTCCTGGAACCAGGCAACAACAGGAAAAAAAATTAAATTGTCTTAAATACTACTAGTCCTTTTCTTGATTCAAAGTTTTAATATTGAGATAGAGCCAGAAGTTATATGGATAACAGTCATTTGTTAGGACCTAAGCATTATTTATCTAGTTGAAAATAAGAGTAGTGCAACAATAAAGGAGACTGGGAATTCACAGAGTTGTTAAGTGTTTGGAAAGTAAGAAAGGACAATACAAGGGGTATTGTCAATCACCCTGGTGGGTGGAGCATTAATGTCTTAACTCACCTTAATCTCTGCCTGAAAGGCTTAGGAGTTTGCACCATTTCAAAATTGTACCACTTCTAGGTTTTCAGACACTGTGTGTGTGTGTCTGTGTGTGTGTGTGGTGTATTTGTTACATGTTCATTAAGCAGCTTTTAAATCAAATTTAAATAGAAGTACAAGAAAAAATACATTGTAGAAAGCTTAAAAGCCTCTATAGATAAAATGTTCACTAGAAATGGAGGGTTAATACCAAAATGGACAAAATGAATTAAATGTACCAAGCATGTACACATATATATACATACACACATGCACAGAGCTGAAGTATCACTCCCAAAATGGATCCACCCATGTTTATGAATGGTCCACATGGGGACTATTTCAGGAGAAAGTCGTAAGCATAGCAGCCCAGCTCCAAGCTGACAGCAGCTTGAATCCTGTATCATGTTTATGAACACCTACAACTTATATCACTTTCATTTGAAACATGTTTAGAATTTTGGTAATTTAACAAGTCCTACAAGAAAATTTTACATTCTGCTTCAAGTACCTTATATAATCAGAGTACATTTTAATTTTCCTATGTCATTGGACAGCCCAATGCAGCCCAGTAAGACCCCAAAGTTTTGCTGCAGGAAGTTATGTATCTTATATTTGAAAACAAACTCAGGACTGATTTTCACTGAGCAGTTCAGATATTACAATGCCAAGTATTCTTTGTGGTAAAAATTGTTAATAATCTTTGTAGAATTCTCTTAAGTTTTCTATTTGAAATAAATATTTGAAAAAACCACTCATCAACTGTACCAGTAGCATTTTTAATATGTTATTTGTTTCCAATTTCGCAAACAGGTCATGTGTTTAGAAGCCATATGTATTAAGGTATAAGGAAAGCTCTTAGCTGTATTATGAGAAAAATAAAATGGAATCAAGTTAGATATATACTTACTCCAGGAGAATTATATAAGATAGACAATTCAAAACATGAATTATAAGGCAAGCTTTCTTTATTTCTGTGGCTACAGGTAATTAAAATTGCACCACAAAGAGAGGGGAAAATGCTTATTTTCTCTCTCAATCCTAAATCTGTTTTATATTTATACTTTCACTGATATAATTATTCTTTAGCACTTGAAATTACTTTTTCTATTTTAAAGAATTCTACTCACATTTACTGAATAGTAACACATTTAAGAAAGAAAATGTCCTTATCAACTTGTTGAAATTATCAAATTTTTCTTTGTAAACAGACTATGAAAAATTGTCATTCATAATCGCTTCTCGGCCTTTTGGCTAAGATCAAGTGGAAAATTATCATTCATCTTCTAAGAAAAAACAGGATAATTGCATTGTAGACAACCCACAGAAAATGTCCTCCATGTAATGCTTAAATATAATATTAAAAAACAAAATGGAATCCCCTAAGTAATCTCGTCTATTAAAAAGTAAGAACACTTCTGAAAAGGAATTCATTTTTAGATACCAGGATTTGATAGGAGCAAAATGAAAGTAAATTTTATTTTCTGTTTATTCTTTTTTCTTAATAAATTTTATTTAAGATATATGACATGATGTCATGAAATACAAATATATGGTAAAAAGGTTACTATAGTAACTCAAATTAACACATCCATCATCTCACATTGTTATCCATTTTTCATTTGTTTTCAGGGCAAAAGCAGCTGAAATCTATTCATTTCATATGAATCCCAAATACAGTACAATTTTATTTCCTATAGTCCCCATGTGTACATTAGATCTTTAGACTTGATCATCCTATATTTCTGCTATTTTGATCCTCTGACCTATTAATTCAGGGGCACATGCAGCCCAGGACGGCTTTGAATGCAGCCCAACACCAATTCATAAACTTTCTTAAAATATTATGAGTTTTTTGTGATTTTTTAACTCATCAGCTGTGGTTAGTGTTAGTGTATTTTACGTGTGGCCCAAGACAATTCTTATTCTTCTAATGTGGCCTAGGGAAGCAAAAAGATTGGACATCCCTGTCATTGTTTGTAGCCAAAGAGCAATAGGATATACAAACACATCAGGCTTTTCTAATCACAATAAATGTCACAAAGGTTTTTCATTTGTGACTACAGTAAAGGACCACATTAGTGTTAAAATGTGTTTTCACTGGTGAAATTAAAGCTATACAAAATATACACACTCACTGTTTTGAGAACAGTGCATAAAAATCCACCAAGATTTATAGACTTTAGACTTTATCCTTAGACAGGATGACCTGGCTCAGTGGATTTATAATCTGTGTGTCTCAGCCCATTTATGCTCTTAACATTTACTAAAATCTCTGAAGAACATTTATTATAAAATTAAATGTAAGAAATCAATACAATATTTATTAGATAATTTTAAAATATTGATAAGTTTATTACCTGTTAAACACAAACATTTATTAAAAAATTATTCTTTACACAAAAAAAATCCTGAATGGAATTGTTTTATATTTTTGAAAAATCTCTTTAGTATCTGGATTAATAAAAGGCATCTGAATTATCTTATGTTTCTGCATTCAATCTGTTGAGATATGGGGTGTGTGTGTGTGTGTGTGTGTTCTATTTCTCTGGAGAAACTTGAATAATACAGAAGCAAAATATTGCTGAACTTTTCACTATTGTAAAAAACTCTTATCAAACACAGCCTGGGAAATCCCAAATGTTATACGAAATTATCCACAAGGACATTGCATTCTGACAAAAATAAACAATATTCTAATATGGATCATCTCAGAGCCTCGGCTTTATTACCAAAGTAAATTTTTAAAACTATATATAGAGAGATAACAAAATTTACATTATCAGAAGTAGACATTAAATTCTTCATGTATAATTTGGCCAGGTGCGGTGGCTCACACTTGTAATCCCAGTACTGTGGGAAGCCAAGGCAGTGGATCACCTGAGGTCAGGAGTTCAAGACCAGCCTGGCCAACATGGTGAAAACTCATCTCTACTAAAAATACCCAAATTAGCCAGGCATGGTGGGGGGCACCTGTAATCCCAGCTACTTGGGAGGTTGAGGCAGGAGAATAGCTTGTACCCAAGAGGAGGGGGTTACAGAGAGCCGAGATCATACCACTGTACTCCAACTTGGGTGACAGAATGAGATTTCATCTCAAATGTAGATAAATAAATAAATACTCTTCACATATAATTTGTGTGTGAAATATTAACTGCTAGTTTGTTATTTTTTTTTTATTTCAATTGGGACCAAACTTGGTGTAACTCAGAATCACCCAGTTTGGGGAAAAAAAAAATCCATATGCCCAATTTTCACACCAATCTTACCAAACCAGAATATCCAGGACCTGAGGAATTTATTTTCTAAGCTCCCTCAGGTGATTCTGAAGATATTAAAGTTTGGAAGCCACAACGATTGTGTACACTGTTGACTAAGATGGTACACCTGGGTATGTGTGCGTGGTGGGGGTGCATGTATGTGTGTATAAAGGGTATGAGGAAGAAATGTGTATTTTGGTTTTACTATTTTTTTCTTTAGAAAATAAGCATAACTTCCATTTTTCAGTAATATTTTGATTTATAGTGTTTTAAGAATTGGATGTCAACCATCTTGGTGCTTTGAGACGTAGAAAATATTGGCCAATGTAGAAGGCTGCCTTTTATTTCAATTTGAGTTGGGCATACTCAGAATTTAAGACTAGGGCTTCCCTTTCACCATAAAATGTTTAAAAAGAGCAGTAAGACATTAAATAGATTCAGGCAGACAAAACAGGAACTGTAGATGTTATGTGAGTAGCAGAAAGGATATGGACCTCAAACACTGTTTCAGGATCCCCATGCAAAAGCACGTTTATGGCACATAATTAACATTACAGCACTACATTGCTTAGTGACACAATGATATTACCCAAAAGAATTTACTAAAACTCTGAGTCAGAAATTTAAGCCACAGATATGTGTTTGATAATGATACTTTGCTTTTGTGTAGGGGGTTGTTAAAACAGTGTAGGAATTATGCTATGCATTTTGGAGAAGTTAAGTTAATGTGAATTTTTGACTCAAAAAATTTTAAAGTTGGGGTTGAATAAGAAAGAAAAATATCTAAAAGAAGGAAGGAAATTCATGCTTTAATTTTATGTAAATTTGGTTAATCCATCAATTAAAGCAATCAATGATGTGCCAAGTACGTCTCTTATGAATCTGCAGGATTCATAAGAGAAGCATAAAATAATATCTCTATCCTCATGGTAATGAGACTGGGGAGAATGATTTAAGTAGCAACAATAATAGGGTATGATTTTACATGCTAAATAATATAGTATCAACAATATCTAGGGGAGGGAAGAATTTAGAAAGTAGAGAAAGTTGTCTTTGAAATTACTAGTGTAGAATTTATTTTTTAAATGACACTAATTCATTTTAACGTAATGCAACACAAAATTATAGCCTGTTCAAATCATCCACAGACTTGTTCAAGAATAGGTAAAGGGTTAAAGGATTCTCTTTCCACTATTCAAAGAATGTAGTTCTCAATTTATTACTGAAAACATTTCCCAATTTATTTTGTCTGACTGTTAGTAGACTATCTGAACGTAGTGTGCATCTGTCATAGATTGAGCTCCATGGAAACAGACTCTGAGATGAAGAGGGTCACGCAGAAAGTTTATTGGGGAATGGTCTCAGGGAAATACCCATTAAAAAGTCAGGATTGGGCAGAGGGAAAGACTGAGTTATCCTGCAGTGTTAACCAAGACCTCTGACAATTCCACCAGGAGCTCTAGATCTTTAATGGTCCTTCCGACATCCCACTGAGGTAAGGGGGCCAGGCTTTACACCCACTGTCAACATTAGACAGATCAACGCGACAGAAAGTTACCAAGGATATCCAGGAATTGAACTCAGCTCTGCACCAAGCGGACCTAATAGACATCTACAGAACTCTCCACCCCAAATCAATAGAATATACATTCTTCTCAGCACCACACCGCACTTATTCCAAAATTGATCACATAGTTGGAAGTAAAGCACTCCTCAGCAAATGTAAAAGAACAGAAATTATAACAAACTGTCTCTCAGACCACAGTGCCATCAAACTAGAACTCAGGATTAAGAAACTCACTCAAAACCGCTCAACTACATGGAAACTGAACAACCTGTTCCTGAATGACTACTGGGTACATAACGAAATGAAGACAGAAATAAAGATGTTCTTTGAAACCAATGAGAACAAAGATACAACATACCAGAATCTCTGGGACACATTTAAAGCAGTGTGTAGAGGGAAACTTATAGCACTAAATGCCCACAAGAGAAAGCAGGAAAGATCTAAAATTGACACCCTAACTCACAGTTAAAAGAATTAGAGAAGCAACAGCAAACACATTCAAAAGCTAGCAGAAGGCAAGAAATAACTAAGATCAGAGCAGAACTGAAGGAGATAGAGATAGTTGCTTCTTAGAGCAAATTCGGGTAAGTACGGCCCATCTGGAAAGATTTTCCCAGGGAACTTGTAAGAAAAGGGTCAGTAGAAAAAGCTATAGCCAGATACTGAAGTTGGTGTCAAGGTCATAACTTTTACTCATTGTATTCTATTGTCCCACACATTCTGAATCTCCTTCATGCTTGGATGGCAATTTGGGGAGTCTTGACTGGAAGAATGGCCCAGATCTTCATTCCCTAAGAATCTTAGCCCTTTCTCAGGCCACAACTGTTCTATTGTCCACTTGCCATCAAAGTGGGCATGAAACACCAAAAGATGTCCCAGGGGATCATCTGACACCACACATATTATTCCATACCCAATCATATTACAGCAGCCCGTTTTCTCCAGATGAAGTCAAGTTCAATTACCACTGCCAATACAGTAATTCATTTCCTTACCTCCTGATAGCTTGGCATGAAGGGCCTGAATTGCTCAGCCAATATATTTTGCTTATACTTTAATGGGACTCTTACCATGCCCCCTGTCAGAAGTATTTTTGGGGAATGAGGATCTCTACACCCATAGAGCCTCAGGCTGGAAGACAGAAAGTACAGAACAGGTTACTAAAATTATTGGTACTATTAGTACTTCCACTTTTTTTTCCTGGACCCATGCATTTTACCTTCTCAGGTCATAGAATCATATAATGTCAATCCTCTCAGGCTGTCACCTTCAAACTGGTGACTTAGGCTCATCTTCGATAGACCCTTCCGTTTATCTGTTGGGCCAGTAGATTATAGATGGCAGAGTATGTGCTAGGCTCATGTGCCCACTGCCATTCTTTCTTCACTCTAGAGTCGATTCCTTGGTGTCACAGGCTGAATTTCACTCCCTTGTCCCTCCCCGACAACATCCATATATTGAAGCCCTAATCCCTTGACCTCAGAGTGTGACTGTCAATGCAGATCGGCCTTCGAAGAGGTGTTTAAGTTAAATAAGAACATTAGGGTGGCCTCTGATTCAGTCTGACTGGTGTCCTTATAAGAAGAGAAAACTGAGACCCTCAAATAGACAAAGGGGCATGCATGCACAGACAAAAGACCACGTGAGGACACTGCAAGAAAGTGGCCATTTGCAAGCAAAGGAGAGAGGCTCAGAAGAAACGAAACCTGCTAACACCTTGCTCTTGGACTTCCAAGCCACAGAATCATGAGACAACAGATTTATGTTGTTTAAACCACCTAGTCTGTGGTATTTTGTTATGGCAGACCTAGCAAACTAATCCACTTGGTAAAATGCAGACTTATTTGGGATCTTATGTTGGTGGATCAGAGAATCTACAAGCCCTCTAATATTTGTGCTGGCCAAGGCCCTGTGTGCAAAAAGACAGACTCATAGGGTCAATCCCAAGCAAAATGATTTGCTTCCCTGTCAGGGTGGAAGTGTCCAATAAGTCACTTTGCACAAAGTGGGTGGTTGGTCTTAGCTAATACCGTATAGGAGCTCAGTGCTGATCTCTATTGCTGCAAACTGGACATTCAGCAGGGGCAACAGCTAGGTCATACTTGGTGAGTGGGAGTTCATGCTATCAGGCCCATTAATAGACTCCATCTCCACTTCCGTATGACTCCAAATATTCAGTACATCAGCACTGAGGTAGCCAATGGAAGAAGCTAGCTGGGTTCAAGTGACTGTTTACTTACTCGTTTAATGTCTCTTCAGTGACAGGGGCTTTCTAGTGGGTGTTTACATATGATGCCAATTAAAGTACATTGTTAGGACAAGAAATTCTTCCTGCATACCTATCCCTGTAGATCCATTCTCATGCCTTTTCCCTAGACTTCTTGAACCCATATCTTCCCATTTTTCTTTTCCAGACCTCTGTTTGATCTGTGTTAACATCCATGAGCCCCTATGTATTCTTTTCTGTTTTGTCTTTCTGTTTATACTAAGTAGATGACTAAGTATACCACCCAGAACTCTGAGCAGTGGGAAAATTTCCCCTCACCACTTTTAGTGAGGACCAGCCCTGAATGGGATTGTAATGAGCAGCAGCTCATCTTCAGCTCTCACTGATATACTCAGAAAACCAATTCATGAAGCAAGCTGGATTTTTTCCTCCCTATCAGGTGGTCAAAATGACCTCAGCCGCTACTTGAAGCCAGAGGCAAGAGGTGGTTGATGAGATAGTAAGGAGGGTTTGCACCACCTTCTGAGTAGATTGCTTGGGCCATCTGATCCTGCTTGTGCCTAGGACTTGTGAAATCCAGGCTGGAGTGCAATGGTGCTATCTTGGCTCACTGCAACCTCTGCCTCCTGGTTTCAAGCGATTCTCCTGCCTCAGCCTCCCGAGTAGTTGGGATTACAGGCATGCGCCACCGTACCCAGCTAATTCTGCATTTTTAGTAGAGATGGGGTTTCTCCATGTTGGTCAGGCTGGTCTGGAACTCCTGACCTCAGGTGATCTGCCTGCCTCGGCCTCCCAAAGTGCTGGGATTACAGGCATGAGCCACTGCACCCGGCTTCACTTCCTTCTTAAACTGGATTACTGCTTGGCCTGCCTGAACTTATGACTGGGTGGGTCAGAATAATTTTGCTCAAGGTGGGCATCTCTGGCCACATGAAACTGGTCACTTGACGTTCCATGGTTGGAGCTCTAAAAAGGACCATTTCAGTTTCTGCTTTCTGAATAAAATATAGTTTGCTGCTGCCCGGGCCTGTTGCTGAGTTCTTTCCTGCTATAGGCCCCACTCTAAGCTGGCAGCCTTTCATATCTCCTAGTATATGGGTTAGACGAGTACTTCCAAGTACAGGCTATGCTTTCTCCAGAACCTGAAAATATCTACCAAGAATTGCTTTTCTTTTCTGAAAGAAAAGCAATTACCTTTCTTGTGGGAGGTAATAGATGCTAGAATTTGTCTTTTACTTAGGAGGAGATGTCCTGGCTTTCCCTAGGCCACTATGCCCCCTAAACTTTTCACTGACATGACAGGTCCCTGAATAGGGTTTACCTCCCACCCTAAAAAATCCGTGTGTCTTAACACAGTACACACATTTTGCACCCATCTACTATATTAAAATGATGTCCTCAACAGACAGGACCAATGTGATATACCACAGAGTGTCCAGTCTAGGTCCCTTTTGAATGTATTAGGGCAGATACCAGGAAATACAACATAGACCTTGGGCCACACAGTAAATGTATAATATTGTTTGCCTCAAATAAATGCAAACAACTTGTGATCCTTTTTTCTGATAGGGATGGAAAAGAAGGCATTCATCAGATCAGTGACAGCGTGTCATATGGCAGAATCTTTGTTAATCTACATTAGCAAAGATACCACATTCAGCATAGCTGCAATTGAGGGTACTATCTAATTAAGTAAATGGAATTCCATTGTCATCCATCATGACCTATCACGTTTCTATAAAGGCCAGACTGGTTAATTAAATGAGAATAGAATACAGACCACCCTGCATTCTGTGGCATTTACTTCTGCCTTTCCCTCCCAAGATGCAGTATTGGTTTACTGTCTTAGAGAGAAAGAGACAGTTTCAGAGGCTTTCCCACTTCAATTACCCCAGGTATAACAATTGAGAATTCTGTCAACTACCAAATATGCGCATTCCATTAGACATTGTAAAAATGACCACATGGTTTGTCTGTGAACACAGTGGCTCCACTGTGAGCAGGACCTGAGCCAGGATTCCACTTGTTCCCTGGCCGCCCCATGCCCTCATTCTAACAGGAGGGTCATGTTGGGACTTTGTGTCCCTGAATGCAAATATTAAGTCAGACCCTTTTTCCAGTAATCCTGTAAAGCTCGGGTATTTCTCTCTTTGCAATGCACAGTTACATAAGTTAGTGTTTATAAATCACTTTAGGGAAGACTGGGGAATTACTACTGAATACTCTTGCTGCAGTGTTGCAAGGTCCCTGCTCATAGGAATCCAGCTTCTCCTTCAGTTAATGGATTCCAGCTCTGAATGTTGGCTCAGGTACAGAAACTGGGGAAGGAATCATGACTTTTTACTGGGGTGGTTACCTGCAGTCTTCTGCTTATTCATCCTTGATTTCTTTTCATTATATAAATGAAGTGGTCAACTTGTTGACTGCCCTTCACTCATGTGTCCAGAATACTATCTCTATACCTCACCAAAGGTTGGGCCCTCTTGGCTGCCACTCCAATCTCATTACTGATCACTATAGTTGTAAACACCTGGCCTTTCCTATTTTGAAATCCTATTATCAGCATTGCCGGAATAAAGGCCAGTTCGGTGACAGCACATCTTACTATCAGTCCTGTCCTAGATAAGGACAGACATCACTGAGCTTCCCAATGATGCTGATGTCACTCTGTGGTAGGATTATTTGTTAAAAAATGAAGACAATGGTATCTGTCGTTCCACATGCTTTTCTAAAATCTGACCTTGTCTCTCTGCCCATCGAGAGATGAGGGCTATGATTCTAAGCAGACTATGACTAAGTAATAGCCAAAAGAATGCAGCAAAAGTGATGATTTCCAAAGTATGACTTCTGAATCTAGGTCAAAAAGGTGATACAGCTTCAAGCTTGACCACTGAAGCACTTATTCTAGCAGGCCTGAACTACCATGTAAGAAAACTGACTACTCTGAAGCTGACATACTGTAAGAATTTAAGCTACATATAAAGTTCATGCATAGAGGCCCAGAAATCCTGATCTTCATATCATCCTAGCTCTGTCTCCAGACATATAAGTGAATAAGCTTTCATATATCTCCAGTACCCAGGTTTTGAGATATTTCCAGCCTTTGGGTCTTCCCATATGAGGCCTTAGACATCATGGAGTAGAAACTAGTGTACTTCTCTCTATAAGCAGAATAAAATGATTGTTTAAGCCATTGATAATATATTTCAGAGCAGTAGTAATCCGAACAGAAATCTGGTCCCTTGGGGGAACTATTCCATAACAAAATTTAGAACATATAGCATTGACTAAGTAGTGGTAAGTAGGCCACCCTCTCACCTGTGTATTCTTTATCCCTTTGATAAATGGAGTACCTCTGGGCTCTCCCATGGAACAGAGTCGGTTGGGAAATGTTCTGGCCTTAACATAGTACATCCACTCCACTCTCTGCATAGCAATTCTGACATTTCAATGTCACTTATGGCCAGCATTTATTTCCAGGTTGCCAAGAGTCATCCCATCAACATGAAAGCACATTTTCCTCAAATACTCGCCACATATTAAATCATTTATAGTGTATCCTCTGTGTTCTCCAATTTTATGTTTCATCCACCTGCATTTAACACTCTGAGAATTCAATCCCATATATACTCTCTCATATTCTGGGTAGGTACCTATTAGCCAGATCCCGCAGTTTCTTTGTTGCATGGTCCTTACCTCCCCTTAGCAGGACCTGCACTTACACAGTTCAGCTATGTTGAAATCTGTTTCTTTGTTTTTTTCTTGGTTGTCAGGTGCAAGGAAAGAGGCAGAGCCTGAGTGGAGCAAGTATTATCTTATAAGGCACTTGCCTTACATGAGGCTTCTGCCTGGTCTTTGAACAGGATGGGGGGTACCATCTCCTAATAATGGGGAATGGGCTGCTGGTGTAGGCCCAGATGGTTCATAAGAATCTAGAAATTGAAGGATCTCAGCTGCATCTATTCGCACACCCCATCCCAACACTCAGAGTCCTGCTGTATCTTTATTAGGGCCCTGACCTTGAAAGAGGAAGCTTAGCTGAGGTAACTTCAAACTTATGTTCAGTTTCCTCTGTATCAATTGATTTTTGTCAATTATGTATTGATATTTATCTTGCTTAATAATTTTGATCTTAATTTTAATTTAGCTGTATTATTTCTATCCATTTGTTTCTTATATCAGATCAAAGTTTTATTACATAAACATTGCCTGTTGTTTCTCTTACCTTACATAATTTTATTTTAAGTGTGTAATTTGTACCCTTTCAACTTTTACTGATGAAATTTAGAATTTGTGTTTGCTACAATAATACTACCTAGTTTTGAGCCTATATCCTATTCAATGCTTTGTTGTTTATTTTCTATTTAGTCTTTTGGGTTGTACTTTATTTAATGTTATTATTGAAAATTTTGGTGGTATAATTTTATTTAAATCTTATAATAAACTACATTAAAGTATTTTCAAATTATTCTTATGATAAAAAGAAGAAGAGCCACTCTTCTTCTGGTTTCTATAGGACACAAATAGATTGCTAGAGTATGACACAATCTGTTGTAAAATCAAATTTTTTAAAGAAATTTTTATCTTATGTCTTTTGTATTCTAATTTTAATTACTTTTATCTATGAACACTTCTCTATCATTTTAATTGCTTTGGGTGCTCATCATCAACCTTTTTAAAACACTTTCTGATTTTTCCTTGGGTGACTGGAGCTTAGTAGAGAAGAGTCTGGGAGATTAAATTTTGACTAACAGGTTTAAGATTGTTTTCCTGTTGCCTTAACATGTAAATAAGAGTAGGATTACCTGTAAAATTATTGGACCACATCTTTCTTTCCCTTTAAATTTCATAGCTTCATGTCTGATGATCTTGACTACTTTTTAATTTTATTTAGTTTAGTTTTATTTTACTTTAAATCTCAGTTGAAGGTGAATTGTTCTTTCTGCTTGGCAATGTCTAGGACGTTTTTAGGAAAGATAGAATAGAAATACTAAGAGGAGTCCAACAAGTAGATTTATTACCAAACAAACAAACAAGTACAACTTATTCTACCCCGTTCTGAAATCAAGAAAGCCTTTGACATGTTTGTATAAGATGTTATGTTTAAAAAGTGTTTTTGCATTTATTATGTCATTTGCGCCTATCTGCAAGAAAAAGGAGGTACGTACATATTAAAAATGTTGGACACAGAGGGATGAATTGTCAAAGATCACCGCTAATAATTAAGCTGGAAAGTCAGGACTAAAAGGTGGGGCATGGTGGCTCACGCCTGTAATTCCATGAGAGGCTGAGGAAGGAGGATCACTTGAGCCCAGGAGTTCGAGACCAGCCTGAGTAACACAGTGAGACTACGTCTCTACATCAAGTTTAAAAATTAGCTGGGTGTGGTGGTGGAGATCAAGACTGTAGTGAGCTGTGATTGTGCCACTACATTCCAGCCTGGGAGACAAAGTGAGACCTTGTCTCAGAAAAACAAATGAAAAAAATAAAGTTTGGACTAGTACTGGAGACTAGAATACAAGATTTATGACGTTAGCTCCTGTTTTTGTAACTCTGGAGATATATGGTCAACATTTAACAATAATGAGACTAAAATATAAACAATTCAATGTTTTTATACAAAATTAATAACTGGAGAATGCGCACTACACCCACCCTCTCTATAATTCAACTTCATGGAAAAATATTGATAGCAAGAAACTAGGAAGGTAGAGGCCCTGCTATAGATCATCTTTCAGCTTACTAACAGAAAATCTCAGGGAAACACACACATTTCCTGAGGGTTACTCTCTATGCCCTTTATGCATGTATTTAGTTTCTAACACCATATTTCACCCAATAGTTTACCTCAAATGATTCCATATATATCTATATATCTTTCTTTTTCGTAAAAATGCTTGAGAATGCAAACTCTCATTTAGAGGATTATTGTTATTTAACTCTATTACTTCTGGGATAAAAATGTATATATAGGTTCAAAAATTAAAGATATTATCAGAACTAGCATCTTTTTTATAGTAATAATTTTATAATGTCACTGTAACTTTTACTATATTAAAATAAAATTCATAATAATACATTTTAATCATATATAATTTATTTTCAAATCAGTGAAACTTTCTAATATTATTACAAGTGAAATTTTTAAAAGTTTTTCATAATAAAATAATTTATAACTCTGTCTGCAAATGCTTGACACAATACTGGAGACTATATTGAAGCAGTCGAATGTATTTACATACTTATAGAGAATAGTTCGTATTTAAGAAAAGCAGGAAAGTATTCAGTAAATATTACAACTCTTTTTGACATTTTAAAATAAAGGTTAATGTGACAGTTATAAATGCAGATTGGTATGGGCATGTGTCAAATAGGCGATTCAGTTCCACCAATGGCATTGCCATCTGACTTTCCTAAATAGTAAATAACTCCTGATAACATTTTTGAAAAGTTAATTTATCCTGCTCTTTCTGTGGTACATGCAGTCCTGGAATATTCAATACATGTTACCTCTTTCAAAAATACTTTGTACTTACATATGTGTATGTATGTGGACTACGGTTCTAGGCTCAGATAACCACAATCTGAGTTTTCATCAATGCAAATGTCCAGTGGAGCTTTCCAAAGACAAGCACAAAAATAAAAACAATGTGAAAGCATTTATTTGTTTTAGGGTCACACTCTGCATTACAAGACAGGCAGAATCTCTAGAACTTTTCCATTAAATGTTAGCAACATCTTATTATTGTCGTG
This sequence comes from Homo sapiens, assembly GCF_000001405.40. Classification (NCBI taxonomy): domain Eukaryota; kingdom Metazoa; phylum Chordata; class Mammalia; order Primates; family Hominidae; genus Homo; species Homo sapiens. The sequence continues at coordinate 156,715,506 of NC_000004.12, forward strand.
ACCAAAAAAATTTATTTAAATAGCCAAAACAATAAACTCACCCATGTCTTTCTCTAACCTCCACTAATTAAAAAGCATTAAGGTAGGGTAAGTATATTGAGCCTCAGATAGAAGAAAGGAAGCCAAGAAGATCATTTCCATGTCTTCTGAGATGTTTTCCCTAGCTTTTATCCAAGAAAGCCTAATCACATTGAAATGTCTAATTTAAAGCAGAATAAAACTGGCTGGAAAAAATACACGTGGCTCAACAACTGAGAGCATACAACCACACTGCCTTCCCATCTTCACGATTTGAAATGCTTGTATAAATGTCTTCTGTTGCTGAAACAGCTATTAGAACTTCATGGAGAATAATTTCCTCCACTGAACTTTAAGCTGTTGGATGCACTGGAGAGATAGGGAAACCTGACAGAAGGAATGGGTGTTAGGGTAAGAAATGAAATTTTATAATAGCAAGAGGGAGGTAGCCTTGAAATGAATACACATATGTAAAGAGCAATAATGATATCAAGCACCAGACATTGTGGATAAAGTAAACTTTGGCAATTTAAGGGGGCAGTGCATTTAGGGCATCATGGAAATTAGACACTTAAGAAGTTGTTTATGTTATCTTTTTACCCCGGCAACTACTATTAGATTATTCCAGGTGGGCTATAATCCCTAGTGTTTTCCCAAATTTCAAATGTGCACTGCTAGCACTATAGGGAATTGTTTGATGATGGCCATGGAATTCTGAAGTTTCAGTGAGGAATGCAATAGCCTGAAATTAATCAGGTAAGAACCAGCTCAGTAGCAGCAATTACAGCATTGCTTTGAAGTCATTCTACAATTACTTTGGTAGAACTAGGGGAAGAAAAATTATTAGAAGCATCTTTGATAAATATTTTCTTTTAGAATACAGTGGCTTATTTTTCACTTAAAATTCTTAGGAAAATTAAGAATACCAGAGCTAGATGGATAATCTAATAAACTTCATCTTATACATGAAGAAACTTGGGCCCCAAGGTCTTCCTTAAATCAGATAAGTCTCACAAAAAAAGATGCATTATTCCAAGTGAATATGTGATTTCCAATTTTCTTTCTCAAAAAGATACAAAACTGACATTTTGACAAGAAGGTAAAAGGCTTCATTACACTCTACCATGTTTTTAAAGACCTCACATTAGCCAAGAATTCATGTCTCTATTTTCTTATGTTTTCAGAATTTCTTTCAGTATTAGCCTCAGTAGGAAGTACTTACTTCTAAATAAAAAGTAAGGAGAGTAGTGTCTTATTTTCTGGGAAATTTTTTTTGAAAAGTATAAGTCACTGAAACAACAGGAAATCAAATGTTACCAAAAAATCAGGACATGTAATACTAAATATATAATCTCAATTTTATTTCAGCCTTCTATTCTATTCCTTAACTGTGAATAACTTTGAACTTTCAAAGAACAAAAAGCAAAGCAATTCCTTTTAACAGTAGAAAAATTAATGCGCAATATTATCCCATGTTTTGAATTGTTTTAAATATACTTCATGCCAATTTACCTCAAAATCTACTTCTGTAGAATATTTCAGATTATGTAGTCTTGGAATTGAATTTATCTGCAAAAATCAGAGTTTAGGGTTTCCTAATAATAATAATAAATAAGTTAGGTTAGTGTAAAAGACCACTAACCTAACTTCATGTACCTTCAGATTTGTAATTGTTTTGTAAATTCCATGACCACAATTTGCAATAAAACTTTCATAACTATTCTGAACCCTTATCAAATAAAGAAACAGAAACCAAATCTCTATTTGTTATCTTCAGGGGACTTAAATCTAGATTGCTTTTTTATTTTGTAGTTTGACCTCAATTAAGTTTTAAATTTTAATCCATGTTCTTTTGATAACTCAGTAACTACAGAATCCCAGAGTGAGAAAATCAAGCTACTCATTGCCCTTCTTTAACCAACAGTATTAGTGAAGCACATAAGCTCTATGGTTGGTTATTCTATTAAAAGCATCATTTATTGCACATGTTTTTTGCTGGCCTTTCTATGAATGTCATTCTTAAGACCAGAGGCATTAGGAAGTGACATGTTGATAAACAGAAGCAATTATCCAGGTGCTGATAGTTCATTTTTTTAAATGTAAAAGTGAATATTCACTAAACGTTAACAAATTCACAAAGACTTATACAAAAGGCAAAAGCCATTTCTTAAAACAAAACAAAACAATAAAACCCTCCAAAATGGGAAGATCAGAAAATGGATTCATTACTTCAAAGCATAAACAGCAAAATCATTCATTAGAAACCAGACTCTGCGATGCAGAAACCAGAGAACGTGATGAAAGACGGAAAACACAGCACCATCCACAACATCAATTTAAAGGACTGCACAGCAGACATGAGTTTTCATGACTGAAGGTATTCCGTAACTTTCTTTTTCCAACACTTATTTTTGTTTTATTGACAACAGTTTTTAAAAATGTGTTCTCCTGGGAATCACTGTTGATGAGATAATTGCTTTTCTACTGTTTTCAAAGATCACTTTCCATGAAAAGCCTGATAAACAAGATAGACAGGAGAGTAGTGAGACTAGAGTGAGATCTTGTAGACTGTTATGCTCTAAAGAACTACTTGTAGGAAGACTCCAAATTTCTCTTCCAACTGTGATACTGCAGACTCCAGAGGAGGCCAAAGAATACAGAGGTCATGCCTATTGTCAACAACTGCACACCATGGGTGACCAAAATGAAGACAAGGAAAGAAAGTTGAGCACGATGTTCAGTAAAATGAAGGCCACACATAATAACCATCACTAACACTTCTGAGAACACGGCAAACACACTCTGGAATTTATGTAGACATCTTAGCACATTTGCTTTTCCTAACAACGCTATGAGGATTTGGAGATAAGGAAACTGCATGTCAGAGAGGTGTAGCAATTCATTCGAGGTCATACAAGTAGTGTGAATCAGAGTCAGTATTTACACCCAGGAAGTCTGGCCCCAGACCTGCACTCTCAGCTACAGTGGCAGCTTCAAAACGTTAACAAATTAGCCTGGTGTGTTGGCAGGTGCCTGTAATCCCAGCTATTCGGGAGGCTGAGGCAGGAGAATCGCTCGAAATGGGAAGGCAGAGGTTGCAGTGAGCCAAGATCATGCCACTTCACTCCAGCCTGGGCAATAAGAGAGAAACTCTGTCTCAAAAAAAAAAAAAAAAGTTAATGATACTTCCCAGTAAAGTATGGTGCTCTATAAAAAATAAACAAGTAAATAATAAATCAAACACTCAAAGATGGGGTGGGTCTGCAGGCATGTGTGCATATATATACATAGATATTCAATGAATACATTTTCACTGAGATATTCTCTTTCATATTCTCAGTTGTTAGATCCTAAATAGACATATATACTTTGTCTGAGGAGAGCATTTTTGTAGTTTCTAACTCTACTTTTCAAGAATCCTAGTATCTGCTTCTATGATTCAATTTAATATCTTCTCTAAATCTCTATTCTCTCTGATGCATAACATTTTAATCATTCCCCCAGATAAACACAGCGAAATTAGAAATTAACTCCATAACTCTAAATTAAAAATCATTAAACTGTGAACATCAGTATGGAAGATGGAAGGTGTTACATATCAATTTGCTTCTGTGGATTTATCAATCCTTCTGTCTGGTCTTTGAACATCAGTTTCAGTACCTGCAGCAAGTAGGCCAGTTGCATGTCTTCATTGTGACTGAGGGACCCTTTCAATCCCCTCACATCTCTCTAAGTTCTGGGAAACTATTGAGTTGCTCTTCTGTGGCCACGGAGACCCCAGAGTCTCATGGATCTCTCCCATGCCATGCTGCCATTTTTACTCAGAGCTGTGAAATAAACTTTGGTGGAGACTTCTTTGGGAGGTTTGTTTCTCTCCAAGCTGTAGGCTAAGGATGAGACATGGATCTTCTCTCTTCCCAAGAGCATTTGGGACCCAGTCCCCTCAAATCTATTCGAGAAATATCATGGGACCACAACAATAACTAACCCTAGAGTGGTGAGATTTTCTCTTGTCCTTCTTTCCTCCTGCAGTCAGTAAAATGTCATTTTCTGTTGGGAGGGAACCTAACTTACATTATCATGAATTCTAACCACATTATGGTTTATGGATAGATTACATGCTCTAATTTCTTCAGGCTCTTTATATTTTAAAACAGAAAAAGTTTATTTTCTCTCAAAAGACATGCTCTCTCTTACAAATCAATACTTCTTTGCAGAAGTTAATTTTCAGGCTATACTGCTTGGGTTCAAATTCAAGCTCTATCACTTACCACTTTTGAGATCTTAGACAAGATATTTAAACACTGGTACTGTTTCCTCATCTTAAAAAATAATAATGTATTACCTAGCTCACAGAGATGTGATTAAAATTAGATGAATAATATATGTACAGCACTCAGAACATAATATATGCATGTACATATATATGTACATAAAATATGTAAAGCACTCAGAACATAGTAAAAATATTGTATAGTTTTAAGTTTATTCCACGTTGTTGACATTTTCTTCATCCCTCTCTTTAGTTTAGAAACAATCCACAAGATGATGAATCAAGCCCTGATTTTTGAGTGCTTGGTGATTTCCATGGTATAAATACTGCCACTGTGCCTGATTCCAAGCTACCAAGTTGTCTGATGTCAATGAAGTTGGGAAGAGATATACAGCTGTACAATGTTATACTATGAACATAAGTAACATAAGAACTTGAAAAAACAGTAAGATATAGAGTATTTGGGAAGTGACAAACTTTGAGTTTGTCTTGTCTCTTTTTATATAATTTATTTAATTACAAATATATATAATATGATTTTTCCCAATAGCTGTGTTAATAACTATCCTGTAAAATTTCTGAAAATTTGCCACTGGATGCTTGTAAGCAGGTTCAAGTCAGCTCCAGCACACCACTGGATGTTGTGTTTATAGAATACACACATGCCTAAATCTTTAGCCTAATGTATAGATGAAGAAAGAGAGGATCAGTAAAATTAACTAGTTATTTCAAGGTCATTTCAGAACTAAGTGATGAAGCTAAGATTTAATCCCAATCTGCCTGATTTCCAAAGACTTTTGGGGGTCAGGAAATTCATAGCGTTTTCTCCAATTGAGTAATTTTTTTCCCAGGTTTCTAGGCACTGAGGATCACCCCAAAGATATGCTTTTTCTGCACCATGATATGACCCAGATTGTTTTGATTTCTGTAACTAACTTTAAAGTACATCTGCATGGAGTAATATAAGTAAGGGGCAATCAGCTGTTCTAAGCAAAAACCCACACTCCAGGGGTGGTCAGCCAGCATTGTGCCAGCTAGCATTGTGTCATAAAGGGCACACAGAGACAACTACTGCTACTGTTTTGTTATACCGACCTTAAATAATATTACACATTTTGCTGAGTAAAATAGTGAAAATCAGAAAAGGATTTTGCATTGGAGAAATTAGAAGTTTATTGGCATAAGGATATGAGAAGTGTGATCTCACAGGGGAGGTTACATGGACAGCTAAATGCATTCTACATTCACCCCTAGGTGAGCCAAGGACAAGAATACTATGGTGCCCAGAGCTTGCTCCTTAATAGTTATCTGGATTTCTGGAAGCCTAATGCTACTCTAAGCAGAACAGAAGGCTGCTGCTGGGATATTTCTGCATTTGCCTTCAATGAAAAGTTTTTCAACATGGTCTTTGAAGCACTGAACCTAGAGAACAGGTCTTATAACTGTTTTATGACTCGTTACTAATAAATGTGTTTTTTAAGTGTATATGAGAGATGAAATTTGGTTTGAGATTTGTGTTCATTAAGGATTGAATGTAGTAAGGGGTATCTGACCCTCTTTTAACTCAGACTTACAAATGGCTACTGTTCTCTATGAAAAAGAACACAGAAATTGGCTTAATTGGTTCTCAACACGGGCTTTTTGGATTTTGAAAGTATTGGAATTTCATGGTAAAGAAATTCATTGTGTGAGAGTCCTGAGGTGCATGTAGGCCACTACAAGCACTCCAGTGTGGTTCAACAGGGGTTACGCAGTCTTTGGGGTGATGGAGAGCATGTTAGGACACACAGACAGTAGGATGTTGGGGCATTTCTCTGAATTCGTGCCAGTGCCAGACCTAAATTCTGGAATGTAACAAACCAGTTAATTTAGTTATTTTCAATTTGTGAAAATACTTTTTTGGTAGAGAATTTTTAGGTGTGTCTCCACAAGAGTTATTTTTTTCCTACAATTCCCACTGGAGGGTTGTCTCCATCTCCCTTTTCTAATTTGCATAAATATCATTGTTGCCTCCCAACTTAGGTCCCTTTCAGATGTCACCCATTTCCAGCAGTTTTTTTGATTTTTTGGGGGGGGTGTCTGCTCCACTGAATTTTTAAGGTATCAGACAGAACCGCTCCCTGGATCCTTAAACTTGGTGTACTAAAGGACCTCTTTGTCTGGCAACAGTCTGCAACAACCCTCAAATAACCAATCCCTTCTTTCTGCCCAAGAATCAAAAAAACAGGATACCGCAGGGCAGTTTTAATCTTTCCTCTTCCATTCAGATTTTGTTTTTAATTTTACTCTCATCAGCAAATTTATTTGTACATGGATCAGAGAGTTCGCTTTCTGAGACCTTGCTGAAGAAAGAATGTGGACAGATTTTGACTGACTTTGCACGCTAACAAGTTTCAACTTGATACTGTGGGACAACAGAAGGCTCTTCGGGGGAGTGACATGACCAAAGCTGTACTTCAGAAAGATAATGATGACAGCAGTGTGATGAGTGCATTGGAGAGATGAGAAATTAGATAGTCAGAGTCAAGGGGCTATTTCAACACTTCAGAATTAAAATGATGAGGATCTGAACCAGTATAATAATGATCAATATGGAAAAAAGGGCAAATATTTGAGATTCATTTGGAAGTAGATTGTCAAGGACTCTATGCTTGATTGGAAGTGGAATGCAGCAGGAGCTAATAAATGGTGAAGCTAAAAGACAGAGAAATGAGCTGATTTTCATCATACTCAGACAGCAGTATGAGAGGCACATGCATATGGAAATGGCTAGCAATATATTGAAAATGTAGTTCTAGTTAAAAATAGGAGTTGAATTGATGGGAGGAAATTGAAATGTTTTCCAGTGAAGTAGTCCTGTCATCTTCACCTGAGAGTAAACTCTTGGTGTTTTAGGAAGACACTTAAAGTCATTCAATCCCCCTTCAATATGTATTAAATGAAATAAAATATTTACAACAAACTTCCAAGGGTGTGTTGTAAGATGAAGGAAATATCAGTCGGACTATATCAGAGTCATTTATAGAGTAAGGAGTCCACTAAAAATAGTATTTAAGGTCACAAAAATCTAATGCTTTAGATACCAAAACTTAGAGCAAATGGACTATTATGATTATAGCTTTAATTTTCCTAGATGTAAATTTAATCTTTCCCCTGCTCAAAATTCATTAACTGTCCTCCATTTGCCAAAGGAAAAAACTGAATTTCTTTACCATTTCATACAATTTCATGATCCAGACCCTGTCTTCCAGTCTGATTTTTTTTCCCCACAAATTTTTTTGAATGGCCCCTGAAAAAGTATGCACACACCTTCTTCCTCCAAAATTAACCCATTAAGTTGGCTGACGTTCTTCACTTTTTCACTAAATGGTTTGGTTAGACTCAGACTCAAAAGCATATGGAGGGGAAGGAATTGAAGAAGTAAAGGTCAGAAGAAAGGTGCATTTTGGAAAACAAGAGACAGAAATATCTTATTTCTCAGCCATAGAACAGCAAGAATGAATTAAATGTAGAGCTTAAAAAGAGAAAAAAAAAGGCTCTGATATTTAAAAATGAACCTCTCCTGCCATCAATCTCTCTTGTGGCCCTACTGTCTAACTATATCACCACTTCTTATGGAGGGTGAGAGCAATTGCAAATAGAATGTCAACAATCTTTCTTCTGAGGAATCTTTTAGTTTGATCAATAATTCTGTAATGAAGTCATTTTAATTTTGTGAAATATTTGTAAATTCGTATACTGTTAATTATGGTAGAAAAAAGATAAGGAGCGTTTAATCATAATCAATAAAATTGCCCACCATATTCTTTTGCTACAAAATGTTGTTGTCTAACCATTTAGGAATTTGCTGCCTCATTGTGGTAAAAGTCAACTGTTCATTTGTCAGCATTAATTGAACTCCCTACATGTAGGCTCCAATGTCTTCTTAGATACACCATCTTTATCAAAGAAGATTTTTATTACCAGAAAGAAAAGAGTGATGTCTAATGTAACACAATAATGCAAAGTTCCTAATATTGATATTAATAGTGAATTCTATTGATGGCAGCTGCAACGTGTCTGGAGTAGCCATTGCCATGACGCCCACTACAGTGGGGGAGGTGCAGTGGAGGCTGTGTGCTCCAAGGAGCCTTTGGGAGCTGCGAATGGCCAGGAGCCTCACCCTCTCAGGCGCAGCTGCAACTGCCCAAGCTGCCGCTGCAGACCACAGCCTCCCTGTGCTCTTGGAGGCCGGGAGCAGGCAAGAGCCCCTCTCTCCCAGGCACAGCTGCAGCTGCCCAAGTCGCAGCTGCCCAAGTCACAGTTGCCCAAGTTGCAGGGGTGGACTGGGCCTCCCTGTGCTCTTGGGGCCTAGGAGCAGGCAGGAGCCCCGCCCTCCTGGACACAGCTGCAGCCGCCCAGCCCTGGCTGGGGACCCAGGCATCTGTGCATTCTCCAGGGCAGGAAGGCCACCCACTGCCTCTGAAGGCTTGGCAGTGCCTGCTGCTGCTGCCTGGCCTCTCCCTGCTCCTGGAGCACACTAGAGCCTCAGAGCAAAGTTGAGGCCAGGCCTGGGCACTGTTGCACCCAGCCAGGTGCGTGCCCACTCAGGACAGCACTGATACCTCCTGCTGCCTCAGCCCGCTCTGGGACCCCATGCTGCTTTGGCCGCCTCCGGACTTTGGACATCAATAAGCATGGGAGGGAGGTGGAGGTGGGGCTGAGAGCAGCTCGGTGCTGGCCTGCAGGTGCCCCTTGGCACAAACAGCCTGGGTGCTGTGGATGATGGCAGGAGGCCAACAGGCTCCTGGGTGGAAAGGGGTGGGTCCCAATGAGGCACCATCTTCAAGCCAGGGAAAGCCTGAAGCCTGAGGGTCAGACTAATGGACCAGAATGGGAACTTTGGGTGATTTTTCTGGGCCTGCCCATGGCTCCCCATGAACCAATAAGCACAGACTTCCTCCCCTCTGAAGCTCATAAAAATTCTGGACTCATCCAGACTGGAGGAGATGACAGAATGACCTACCTGGAGAGAGGAGCTACACACTCCAGGGTCTCCTCTCTGCTGAGAGCCGAACACCCAGTGGGATGACCAGCTGTGGAGAGGAGATGCCCATTCCAGGGTCTCCTGTCTGCTGAGAGTTGAACACTGTTGAAACACCCTGCCTGCGAAGAGGAGTTACCCAGTGCAGGTCTTCTCTCAGCTGTTCTGTTGCTCAATAACGTTCCTCTTAGCCTTTCACCCTCCACTTGTCCGAGTATGTCATTGTTCCTGGACGCAAGACAAGATCAGGACCCACCAAATGGTGGGGCTAAAAGAGCGGTAACAGAAACAGGGCTGAAACATGCCCCTTGCTCTCCACATAGGGGATGAGAAGAAGGAGAGAAAAGAGAAGGAGAGAAAAGCTGCAGACCTTTGAGGGGCCCAGACCTAGGAGCTCCCCAAGTCAGGGCTGTGACACTCTCTTCGGGGCTCTGCGGTTACTGGGTCTCCAAGCTTTTGGTTGCCACTGAGTTCCCTGGTGCCAACTGTGGAAGCTACTTGCAATACTCCTTGTCCAACCGCAGCCTCACAGGTAGCTGGAGCCCATGCCAGCACCTGGAGCTGCCCACCCTGCCACAGCTGGCATGCCTGGCTGTGTGCAGTGTCCAGACCTGACACTTGCTCACTCACCTACTCCTCACCACTCCACTTGCCCTTGGCAGGCATGGGATCCAGGCTGGTAGTACAAGCCAAGGGCAGCCTGCCAGGCCAAGTCGGCCCAATGGCCTGAGCAAAACTCAGGCAAAGGCACCACTGGCCAAAGAGGTTTCCAGCTGGAAAAGCATCACCCTAAGGATCCCATAACAGTATTTTATCTGCAGTACTTGGAAAAAAAGAAATAAACACTAGCTACCTCAAAATAAAAGGCATTAAAGTGGAATCTATTAAAAACTGCCATCTCTCTTAATTTTCACCTCATCATTGTTCTCATGTGTAGAAATAACAGAGGTTCTAACATGTTATTGTTCATGATGGGACAGCTAATAAGCTGTAAAACTAAGTTTGAGCACAGTCAATCAACTCCACAGTCCATGTTGTTTATCCTTATATAACTTTGTTTTCAAAAACCTTTTTTTAAAATTACCTAGCAGAAAATAGGTAGAGAAAGCAAATAAGACTATAAAACTCTTTGAGTGGAAGAATATATTATAATCTCAACAACTAAAATAATTTAAGTGATTTTCATTTTTTTAGCTATTTGCACTTTTCTCACACAAACTTTACTAAGTTCCTTTTTCTAAGATGATTGCTGAGTCTGGGATTCTTTAGGAGCCATGTATTTTTCATAGTGTTAACTCTTTGTACTGGAAACCATGATCCTCTATCCAGTTATCTGTGTCCCAACCTAGGTGTGAAGGATCTCTAGCTTCTGTGAGTGTAGTCAGGTTCCAGACCTTAGCTGTCAGCCTTCTCCCACCCAAAAGTGGCCTCTGGTGAAGTAAGACTTGCCTACTTCTGGGAGAAGCCCACATTCAGTGCGGGAGAATATCAGCCTGACATCTAAGTCACCCCAGTTTAGAACTATTCTGAAGGGTCAACTCACTTCCAGAGCTCCCCACAGAGTTGGCTGAGGGCTTTGTTGAGACTGCATCACAGCTTTGCCATCTCCCCCTGCTCAGTTGTGCTTCCTTTCCTCCCCCAGTCAGTGCTGATCCTCATAACACACCCTCATAAACTTTCTGCCTTGCCAGTAGATACTCCAGTCTGCACTCCGGGAGACCAGATCCACCATACTAATTACGTCTAAACCATTTAGTAAATGAAGAAATTTGCTATTAACATTACCCAGTCTGGAAAAAGTTTGTAATGTCATTTTCAAAAAGATTACAAAGAAGGAAATAGTTTTGATGAGAAAATCAGGCTCATTTATTATAAACCATCTAATTAATAGACAGTGCTGCAGGTTTGGCAAGTTTAAGAAACTGCCACTCACAGAGATCATTTAGTTTTCAATAACCAAAATTTAAAATGCAAACAAAGTATTTTAATTTTTAGTCAATATTTCATCATGAAAAAGTGTAAACTAACTTGATTTTTGGGAACAAAATCTTAGCATTAAAGTGTTCTTTAAATTTTTGATTTTTTAAAGAAAGATGCCAAGTTAATAAATCAATTTAAAAATACAGTTGGACCTGGGTGATGGGATCAATTGTACACCAAATCACAGCATCATACAATATACCCAGGTAACAAACCTGCATGTGTATCTGCTGAGTCTGAAGTAAGGGTTGAAATTATTTAAAAAAAAATACATTTGGATTTCTGTGCACCAGAGGAGAAATAGGACACGACATATTGCCATGCAAGATTCCAATCTTGTCTTCGATGGTAACTGATCTGTTATTACTGAGGAATAAATATGTTCTGTGTTTAAGTTTCAACCTGCTGGATTTGCAGAATCACTGAGGCAGTGATGACTAGGGAGTCTCTGCATATGAACCAGGTGTGAGCTCATTCACCAAGCACCCCATCATTACACTGTGCTTGGTGGTAACTGTCAGTTCCTTTCAGCTGTCACTTGCCTTAATTACCAAACACTGCCCTATGATGCAGAAACTAGAAAATTCTGTAAATTATTATGCCACATATGTGCCACATATATTAATATATGTTAACATATGTGCCACATAATAATTTACAGAATTTACATAATAATTTATAAAGTTATGCCACATATGTGGCATAATAATTTATAGAATTTTCTAGTTTCTGAATTCAATTCCCACAAAAGAAATAAATCATAAAGATATGCAAGTTGATTTTTTTATTCTGATTTTATATTCAGTAGAATCTTTACTATTTCTACCAAGACTTCTTTTTAATTATCCTCAAAGTCATTGCTGTAAGCAGTGATGTAAATGAATAGATAACTAAATTCCTACAAGTTATTTAGGTCTAAGGGGAGCCTAATTTTCACTTAATTTTATTTTACCTTTAAGATCTGGACTAAAACCTTTATTTTACAGATTAGAAAAACATTTTAAGGTCCCAAGATGTGAAATGAATTTTCTCCAGCATTTGCCATCTTTGCATAAACAAGTATAAGAATATAAATTAAAACATACATTTACATCAGTAAATTAATACTACAAAAAGAACTTGGGCTCAAAACATATTCACCAGTTTTGGCCAAATATTTCCTTCTCATAAATAATCTTTGTAATACTAATTCAGAACTTGAAAGACAACAAGCAAATTTAGCAATCATGCTCTAATTTAATCTTCCATTTTTAAAAGAATCTTCAAAATAATTCTACCACCACGATATACATATATTCCCTAGGTTCGGGCTTCTGAGAGCATGCTCCTCCAGAAAAATAAACCAGGAATGGCAAAGGATGTGACAGGTGCTCTCTTTTATACCCCAACATTGCAGGAGTTTGTTCCCATGCTGTAATGAAATGCAACTGACAAGCACTATGTGACTTTAAGAGATTTTGAAATGATTTAAAGGTAAACATATTATTAAATGGGTTTTTAACTGAGTGAAACTAATTAGAAAAAATTTCATAAATCCTATTACAAATGTGGTATGGAGAGGGATCAGTTTACACAAAGAGAGGCATGATAAGTGTTCATCTCTGCAATGCCATTTGAGGAACAGAAAAGCTTTCTTCTTTTCTTCCCCATCCTGTCCTCTAGACTTGAGGACCTTATTAAAATACAAATGTTGTCTAGGGGAATTAACATTCTCAGAAGAGCCCTGAGAGCAAAGGAAAGCACTTTTCTGTATACTATTTCAAGCAGAGAATTGCATGAGTGAATCACTCCAAAATGAAATTTCCAAAACAACAACACTAATAATATCATTTATTGTGATGCAGTGTGCCAGCAATTGTGTTACTGCTTTATGTGATTTATTTTATTTATTACTTACCATAACCAAACCAGATAGGTACTACTAGTTTTCTACAAATAAGAAAACTTCTGAAATTTAGAACGGTAATTACTTTGCCTAAAGTCACAGAACTAGCAAGGAAGAAACTGAACTCAACTCCCAAATCTGTGACACTGTTATAGAAACTATCTCTCAAGATACAATTCCACTTTCATCTTCGCTTTATTTTTTGTTATCTCAGCGGGAAATAAATTCACATGTTACCTTTCAGTGGTCATCTCTTCTGTCCGTTCTATGCATTCTACCTGCACCAGAACAGTGATCCCACATTTCTTGATTTTCTCCGCTTCATACTGTCTCTTAGGTATCTTCAATTAATTTTATTGACTAACTCCCTTCTCTTTACTTCATTTGACCCCCTCCACTTGTCAGATAAATGTATTCATTGATTTCCACTGTCTTCTACAACTGCCTTATTATTTCTCTAGTTCTTCTCATTGCCAGTTTATTGAATAAATATTCCAAAATGTTATCTCCAATTTCTCATCAAACAATTTAAACAAGTTACAAATTGGCTTTCAAGAATAACAACAAATGACACTAAGATTCCTTGCTGGTTATTCCTGCACCCCAGCCATTCCTCTTCTTAATCCACCTTTCCTACATGCCTGTTATCAGGAACAAAGATGTTTGGCATTTCTTTCATTATCATTTTCCCCTTTTATTCCCTTTGTTATCATTAGACTTGATGGACTCAAAACCGATTTTGCCATATTAATTTTTAGTGGATGCTCCGCCTCTGGTCTTATACTTTCCCGATATATAGAATAACAGCTCTGCAGAATGTAATCTAAAATGACACTTTCATCATATGTTTGCTTTTTATCTGAACTTGTCAAGAGTTCTTAAGGCCTCAGGGTAAAATAGAAACTCCTACATTCAATTTCCAAAGCTGTCAAAATATGACACTCAACTCCAAGTCACTTTTCTCATCCTTCCACCTCTCCACAAAACATCTGTTCTTGAAGGCTCCTTCTTTCTCAATTTCCATTTGCAAGCACTCTCCTTTACTCCTTCTGGCATAGTTTTTTGACTCCAGAGTTCTGTTTTGTGCTTTATCACTTCTTCAAATTGTTCACCCTGCTTCCACCGCTTTCCATGCCCTCTGCCACCCTCACTTCACACTCAATTCGGTTTGAACCAGATTTAGCACTTTCTTTAGAGAAGTGCAGGAAGTGTACGTCATTTGTTTATCTGTTTCTACCCTACACAGTGCAAATACAATGCTTTTCCTATCAGAAGTCACCATTTCATATTTATTAAATAAATGATAAGTAATATTTAGGATTTTATACTAATTTGCTAAAGAATTGGCAACCATATTTTAATACAACCTTATAAGAAATAAAATTAGTTTCTTATTAAAACAGTTTTTAGGATACACATTTTTGGATTTGTTCCCACCTTCCTCATTCCCATCAAATATGGTGCATTTCTTTATTTTTCTATGTGTGTACCTTATCAGGAGATCTTCTGGGAGCGTAGTTTCTGCTAAACAGTTTATTGTAACATTAATAAAAGGAAACAGATATATATTGCAAAAAATTAAAAGTCTCAAATTACCTCGAAGAGTACTCTACTCTGGTAGTAAAAAAAAAGAAAAAAGAATAATACATAAATACATAAATTTGTTTCATAAAAGCCAACACAAGAACAAGTAACAATGGTCTGAAAAATGAAACAGGAAGGCAGTTTCTCCAAAGACAGGCTAGTACTTTTGCAAGTCTTTCCATTTGTTTCTTAAATCATTCTCCATTTCATGACCCTCATTGTCCAAGTGCTAACACCATGCAAATTATACCAAGGCCAGCTTACTCTCGGAATGATTAGAGTTTAATTTTTGAAATACTTCATTTTATAGGTTCCTTTTGTGAGGCTAATTTAGATAGAATTAGAATAATAAATAAGCACAATAGACAGCAATTGAAGAATAATAAAAAAAGGTCCGTGTGTTCAAAGAATTGCAATAGATCCAAGAACATCGCTTCTCAAAATGAATTAAACTGCATCATAGGGCAGAAACTTTGAGGAGGCTTTAGATAAAGAATTAGGAGGTATTTTCTTGACTGTTAGATCTCTGGGATGAAATGAAGCTAAACTGCTTATAAATCACTATTAAGAGAATGCTTGGGAGCTTAAAATAGAGTCAAACATTACCACAATAGAGATGAAATAAAGGAAACCACCAAATATTTTTTCAGTCAAATACATGAAAATTAACTATTACACAGCAGTGGAACCATTGTTTTCTTTAATTAAATGATCTATATTAATTCTGCAAGTGATAACAAATATAATAACTATTTCATGATGAAATAATTCTGATAAATTGCCATTATATTTATTTTTTAAAAAAGTATTCTGGACTTCTGCTTCTGAAAAGTAGATATGTTTTCACTATCCTTCTCACTTAGGACAGGTAATAACCCTGAATGTTATAAATAAAACAAACATAAAACACCTCTGAAAGGTGAAGAGAAGAAGGCAAGTTGGATGGAGACCATGAGATCTGAAGAATGACACAGTGGCCAGTGAACTGGATTTTCTTTTTGCCTTATAAATACCAGATTGGATATATGAGCTACTGGAGAAGCAGATGACCTAGAAATGCCAATAGGGTCAGACCAAAAAAAGAAGCCTCAAGACAAGCCTGCTCTCTCTAGACAAAGGAATGGGAAATGAGCATCTTAGAAGGCAGATGTATTTTAGAACTTAAACATTCTGCTGCAGCCAAATACCACATAAAAAACGGATCCACCCCCATCACTGTCAGCAAGTAGCAAGTAGAAGCTTAAACTTCCCTCATAAGGCTATAACAAGATACCTTCCCCCTTGGGTGGTGTCAGAGAAGGCTGAGTGGGGAGACTAGATGTCAGATGTCCACGCCACCCGACCCAGCCTATGTGTCTCATAATGAGACACACCTCCTCATCCTCACTAGGGTGGTTTATTGGAAGTCTAGTGGAGAGTCAAGACTTTCACTACAATTCAGTAGTACTCGGACTACCCCTCATAATGTCATGGAGCCCATAGAGGAAGCAATAAGGAGGCACCTTCTCCCTTCCAGCCACAGTGGTATCAGTGGAGGTCTACCGGGAAACCTAAATGTCTACTCCCACCAACCAATAGCAGGGATCCTCTCTTTCTGTATATGACAATGGAGGCCATGTGAAGAACCCAGATTTCCACTCCCATCTGGAAGTAGAGAAGCAATACTCACTTCCCTTGCTAAAGAGGTGTCAAGAAATGCCTGCTAAAATGCACGATTTAAAATAAAATACGGTCTGGGCACAGTCACTCACACCTGTAATCCTGGTATTTTGGGAGGCCAAGGTAGGTGGATTCCCTGAGCTCAGGAGTTTAAGACCAGCCTGGGAAAAATGGCAAAACCCATCTCTACTATAAATACGAAAATTTAGGCAGGGATGGTGGTGTACATCTGTAATCCAAGCTACTCAGGAGGCTGAGGCTGAAGCATGAGAATAGCATAACAACAAAAATGTCCAGATCTCAATTAAAACATCACTCAGTGTATCAGGAACCAGAAAGATCTCAACTTGAATGAGAAAGGATAATCAACAGACACAAACATAGAGAAGACAAAGATGTTAGAATTATCTTGCAAAGATCTCAGTCATTATTTTAAAAACCATCCACAATTTGAACATAAGTGAAAGAAATAAAAAAGAGGGCTTTAGCAAAGACATAAAAGATATAAGGAAGAACCAAATTAAAATCTTAAGATTGAAAAAAGTCAAAGCTAAAATCAAAACCCTCAATTACCAATAGAAATTACTCAATCTGAGTTACAGAGATGAAATAGACTGAAAACACACAAATTTTAAAAGGTGAACAAGGACATATGGGATTATAATAAAAAGTCTAACATTTATGTCATCTGAGTTCTAGAGGCAGAGAAAGACGGTGGGGCTAAAAATGTATTCAAATAAAGAACGGCTGAAAACTTCCCAAATCTGGCGAAAGACATAAACCTACAGATTCAAAAAATTGAGCCAATACCAAACAGGATAAATGCAAGAAGAAAAAAAAATGTGAAAACTTCTGAAAACTAAAGACAAAGAAAGAATCTTAAAAGCAGTTAGAAATGGCATGTTACTTATAGGGCAAAATCAATGCAAATGACAGCAGATTTATCATGTAAAATTATGGAAACCAAAAGAAACTGGTACAACATTTTTCAAGTGCTGACAGAAGAAAAAACAAAACAAAACTGTCCGTACAGTGTTCTATATGCAGTGAAAATATCCTTCAGAAGTGAAGGAGAAAGCAAGACGTTCTCACGTGATAGAAAAGTAAAAACTAAAAATAAAAACATCACCAGCGAGCCTATCTTAAAAGACTGCCTGAAGGAAATACTCTAAACAGACATAAAAAGACAAAAGAAGGAGTATTAGAACAACAAGAAGAAAGATAGAACAACAGAAGGACCAAAAGCATTAGTAAATATTATGTATTTTTATTTTCCTGAGTTGTCTAAATTATGCTTGATGGTTGAAGCAAAAATTATAAAACTGCCTAATGTAGTCGTCAGCGTATGTAGGAGCAATACTTAAGACAATTATATTGTAAATGGGTGATGGTAAAGGAATAAAGACAAGCACAATGTCTACCTTTCGCTTGGACTAGCAAAATGTTAGCATCAATAGACTGTGATACATTTTATATCTATAATAACCTACAGTAAAAAACTTAGAGCAACCACAAAAAAAACCTATGCAAAAAAAAAAATATGCTCAGAAAGGCTACAAATCTCCAAATGTTAGAATTATAGTGGTGCAAAACATTAATTATTGCTCAGGATTGGGGATAGCAGGGGGGTGGTGGTGATAAGTGTTACAATAAGAGAGTTGTATGAGTGTCATCTTGGGAGGATGAAACAGTTCTTTATCTTGATTTTAAGAGCACTTACACACATTTCCACAAGTAATGAAATGACATAGGTCTACCTGATACACACATTGTGCCAATGCTGGTTTCCTGGTTTGATATCACACTACAATTATATAAGACATAACCGTAGGGGAGACTGGATGAAGGGTATATGGGTCCTCTCTCTACTTCCTTTGCTACTTTTATTTCTCTGATGTAGCCTGCTGAAGGAAAAGCAATGATCTCTAATGTTGTTTGTCATTGTGACAGAGGGAAAGAGACACTGTGACAAAAGTCAGTAGAGCATTCTGGCTCCAGGCAAAGCTTAGAACTGATTCCATTTTTTAAGCAATATCACAAGTGGCCATCACTAGGCCCTCTTTCTCCTTTTTTTTTTTTTTTTTGCCTTCATTCTCAATTTGGTTATATGCCAATTACTGTTGCCAGGGAAATAGAACCAGCAGTGGCTGTCATTGGATCTGTGATTGGTATCACTTCTAACCAAACTTTAAGATTTAAATGGGAAAGGGATGTTCCCAAAAATAACTTCAGGTCAGTCTTTCTTGCTTTTTTTTTTTTTTTTTTTTTTTTTTTTGAGACAGAGTTTCACTCTTGTTGCCCAGGCTGGAGTGCAAAGACGCAATCTTGGCTCACTGCAATCTCTGCCTCCAAGGTTCAAGCGATTCTCCTGCCTCAGCCTCCCAAGTAGCTGGGATTACAGGCATGTGCCACCAGGCCTGGCTAATTTTGTAATTTTAGTATAGACAGGGTTTCTCCATGTTGGTCAGCCTGGTCTCGAACTCCTGACCTCAGGTGATCCACCCACCTCAGCCTCCCAAAGGGCTGGGATTACAGGAGTGAGCCACCATGCCCGGCCCAGGGCACTCTTACAGAAAGATGGGGGGATTGATGCTGGGAAATAAATAATAGATGCCCACTACAACAAATAAATGTGAAATATTACATTACAGAACTATATATTTTCCAATGAAATATGAATCCTTTTATGCCTGGGGTGATAAGAAGTTATTTGCTTATGTGATTTCCAGCACAGCCCACACAGTCTGATACACAGTTGGTGATCAATAAATCATTATTGAAGGTCTGACTGACTGACTTAGTAGAAAAGGAGAAAAGAAAGAAGGGGAGGAGGAATGGAGGGAGAAAAGGAGGAGGAAGAAGAAGAAAAGGAAGAGACAAATTGAAATGATTAATAATTTAATTAGATGAAATTTATTTTTATTTTTTCACTTTTTTATTTGTTTGTATCTAATTTTATAAAACAGAAGAAACATTAAAACAATATTAGTAGAGAACAGAATATGTGCCAAGAAATACAATATGCAGGGAACGTTCATTGAAATTGATTCCCTAAGACATAACAATTTGCAAGTTACATAATATGTTTAAGGTAGCAATTACTAGCACACTATTCACCTTAAAAACATGTTAAATGATACTATTCATCTTAAAAATATGTTAAATGAATGAATGACGAATCATGAAAGCAAAGGGAAATACTTTGAATACTTTTTTCCTTGGATTCTGCATACAACTGTCTTTCTAATATCACAAATTCAATGAATAAGTATCATAGTCAAATATACTTTTCAAAAATTAGTAGCACTCACCACAGGCTAATTGCAGAGGGAAAATAACAATGAGGAGAGCAAGCAGAGAAAAATAGAACATAAATCTTTGGCTCTTGCAGAGTCAGTGAACAACCTAATTTCCTCTCATTCATTTTTTTTCCACGTAAGATAGCCAGAAAGGATTCTGTGGTTTGCATTTAAACCCTCGTCCCCTCCCCACCCCAACTGACACAGTGCCTCTGCAAGATCCCAGAATATACATAGGCCTGGCCACTCAAAGTGTACATGGCCACCTTGTGCATGTGGAAGTGTTTCATATACTTGTTACTCTTCTTTTCCTCCTGAGTAAAGAGAATGAAGGCAAGTGCATTGCAATTATTCCTTTTCAGAAATCACTCAAGAGTAACTTTTTGTGCTTACAATCCTTTAAACCTCAGCTCCCCTATTTAAGATCATGGCAAAACTCTGGCACTACGACTGAGTGTTGTTTTTTATAGCCGTGATACGTTAATGCCAGTAGCATAGAGCAAAATATTTATATGATGAGTCTTATTCATGGCTTTTCTACTGGAAGGGATGCTGCACTTACTTCTTTAAATGCCATCTTAAAATGATGGTAAAGGGAATTATAATGTACTATAAACAAACATTTGGCTTTGCATTTTCAAAGGAGCAAACGTATGCATTCAGTGAGTTTTAAAGGGGCAAGAACCAAAGGGACTATTCTAAATTAAAGATCCTTTTCATCTCAGAACAGTAAAGCATGCAAGGACTTATGTGGATTTAACTCTAGTGTATTATTACGGTATGATTAGTGTATAAAGCCAATTTTGCACATCATGCCTGACTACTGCCTCCATCTTCTAAATTTGCAGAACTTCAGATAAGGCTAACTGTTCAATACATATAATGACTTCTAAAGTATATTAGAAAATAATTTGCATGTCCTAAACCATTTTCTGAATCTCCATCAGACCTATCACTAATTTTATTGCCCATAGTTTCTTTCTCTCCCCAGTCAGAGTCTGCAGGGGATCAGTCCTGTGCACAAGCCTGCTTCAAAGACTGCAATGCACAAGCAGATTGCTGACTGGGTCAAAGGCCATAAATCCACCCCACTCAGGCTGGACTATGGGAGGTTATCTAATCCAAATCTGTATTTGTGTTGGTGGATGCTGGGGTACACAGATTCATCCCCTCAGGACGGAGACAGTAAAGCTGCTGGGAGTCTTGGTGGCTGAGATCTTGCGTGTGAGTCCTTTCCCTGGATTGTCCTTAGTTGAAGAGAGCCACCCTTTCCAAGATTACACCCTCTGTCATGGAATGACCAGGTGATATAGGAAGGTTAAGGCTCAGCTTCCTGCTTTCAACTCAGAACTGGGAAGGGCATTCCAGCTTTAGAGCTCTCCGGGGTTGGCTGAGGCTTTCATTGTAACTGCATTGGAACATGACTCTCCTGCTGTCCAATCCTGCTCCTTTCTCTCCTCTAGAGGTGTTGATCCTGAGAACACATGCCAATAAACCACTTTTATATAAAATTCTGTCTCACCATTTGCTTCCTGCAAGCCAATCGGTAACATCAAATGACTCCACTCCCTTCTGTGCCTGGCTTTTATATAGAATCTTGACTCATCAGGATTTTTGTCTTGAGAATTAAAACAAGAAACAAAGCAAGAAACGAGGAATTGATAATTGGCAATGGAATGGAGAGTTTATATAAATAGAGAAAGCCATAGCGACACCTACATAGGACCATGGTTAATATACATAAGCTGATGGATTCTTCTGAGAAATCAGAATAATGGAATAGACCCGCTTATCAAGACAGTGATGAAAGTGGCCACGTGAGGTGGAAACTCTGTTTCCTTCTTTAAGTCCCTGTGACTCCAGGCCATATTAAATATGCCCTAAACAAATAGCTATAAGATTATATATTATATTTCTATAACTCCTCCTTTTCACTTGAGCTAGCTTGAGTCTGTTTTTTGTTATACAATCAAAATACCTTTAAATAAAATATCAAGTGTAACATAAATATAGGGCTTTAAATTTTTACAAAGCTCTAGGTAAAGAAAATGTGACATATATAGAGTCTGAATTAAGGATTCAGGTGCAAGTAATTTATGAAGAACAACATCTCAGGAGGAACCAGTTCAGGAGGATGCAGGAAAGAAAAAGGAGAAAAGCCAAGCAAAAATACAATTTTGGATGAAGGCCAGATTTAGCCTGATTTCAAAGGGAGTTCTGAAAAGGAAAACAGACCTTAGAGTCTATTCCACCCTAGGGTAAAGAGGTGGGCTTTTTAAAAAAACCTTTATAGCAGTCAGTCACTGGCTACAGATTGTTGGTATGTGTGTGTGTGCATGCATGTGTGTGTCTGTGCGTGCATGTGTGTGTCTGTGTGTGTGTGTGTTTGGGGCATGGAAAGCTTCATCCAGTATTCTGGCTCTTTAGATACGTGAGGCTCTGCAGTGGCCAAGAGCAAGCCTCTAAATTTGGCAAGCGCCAGCCTTTAGCAGCAAAGCAGAAGCTGGATGGCAGGTGCAGAAACAAACAAACAAACAAACAAAAACGTGAAGGGCATCTGAAGGGATCTGGGTAGACCAGTAAGACTGGAATTAGGTTTTCTGCTGAAACTAAGTATCAGAAAAGATTCTCAGAACTGAATTGATCATTATAGTGGTTAAAACAAAATATGTCTACAATTTGTGTTATTCCTTCTGTCAGGATGTGGAACCAAATTCCTCTCTTCTGAGTACAGGCTGGAATAAGTGACTCTATTCTGACAAATTCAATATGGCAGAAGTTATGGTTTGTAACTTGAAGGCTAAATCATAAAAGGCAAGAATGGGTTTTCTCTCTTCCCCTCTACCTTTCTAGGGTTGTTTTCTTTGGGGAAGCTAGCGATCATGTCATGGACAGGGGACACTCACATGCTAAGAACCTGTGATCAACAGTGGAGAACTGAGGGCTTCTGCCAACAGTATGTGAATGAGCTTAGAAGTGAATCCCCCAGCCCCAGTCAAGCCTTCAGATGAAGCAGCCACAGCCTATGTTCTGAATGAAACCTTAAGAGAGACTCTGAGCCAGATCCAGAGCTACGTAGCTAAGCCAATCCTAGGTTTGTAACTCCCAGAAGCTTTCTGATATAACAATATTTGTTGTTTTAAACTGCTAATTTGGGTAGTGGTTTATTATACAGGAATAGATAATGAATACAATCACCCAGTGTTTTGGAGGCCTGGCTTTCTTTCAGGTGGCAAATCACTCACTAGGTCATTTATCTTCAAATAGAATGTAGGGCAGCTTCAAAAATAGGCTGAATCCTCAAATGCAAATAACTCTTTTTCTCCTAGTAGTTGACCATCAAGTACAAATTTCTCCACTACTGAAAAAATCTGGAGTAGGTAACGTTATGAATTAAGCAGTTTCAGGAAGGGGATAGAAAGCACAAGGTGACAGAGTTGCCTCATAAGAATTTAAAAATGAGAAAGAACAAGTAAGTATTATAGATTTATAAGTATTAGCCCTATATAGTGAAAAGAATTGGACTAGGAGTTAAAATGTCTGTGGTAGGTAAAATGCAGCTTTGCCACTCAATAATGGTAATTCCTTTCTTTTTCTCTGTTCCTCGATGACCTCCTCTATAAACCAATAGTAAGAAAATGAGCTTATTAGGTAGCTGTGAGGATTAGATGGGTCAGTGATTCTCATGGGAGGCTCAGGGCATTCAGCCAATGTATAGTGGCAGTTTTCGGTGTCAACATGATTAAGGGAGCACTGCTGACATTTAGTGGGAAGGGCCATGGAGGAGAGATGTTCAGCAGTGTGCATGGCAGGGCAGTCCTGCATGATGCACAGGTGCCTGGATTTCCAGTGTCCTGACACTCATTCATGGAGGGGGGAAGCCCAGCTTGAAATAATCTGACCTTAGAACATTATACATTTTACATACAATTCCAAATTTTTTTTTCCAAAAAAGCACTATTTTATGAAATACTGAATTTTTCAGAAAAACAGCTACCATGAAATATAAAAAATATATTCCTTTAAAAAATGAACTTTACCAAGAGTTGTTGAACATTTTGAAAATCATGCCTGGTACACCACTCTAGGTATGGGCACAGATGATAAAGTGAACCTTGTCGGTCTACATTCATAGCTGGCACAGTCAGTGATTGTAACCATAGCTGCAGATATTAGAATACTTTATTGTATTTTAGATTGGCTAGAATCTCAACACTTACATGTTGTTACATATGTTAATTTTTTATTCATTTCTTTCCTTTTATTTATGCTTTACATAGGTTATTACATTGATCTTTAAAAAATATATTATTGTATTTAGGTTTTAGGTTACATTATCTCTGTGCTTTATGTCAGCAGCAAAAAGATATTGTAACAAATTATTTCCACTAGAAAAGAGACACTGGACCTGATATATTGAGAAACACTAATTCTGAAAAAAAAAAAAAAGATAATTGAAAAACAGGGAAGGTCTATGCAAAGATGCTATTTATAAGTCACTCATCCTCAATTCCTAAATCCAAGCAAATCTGAAACTCAAAAGCCTTTCTAAATTCACTTGGCCATAAAACCTAACCTAAATTTAGCTTAGAAAAACATACAACTTCAACTAATGAGGTTATTTATAGTATTTATTGATTGTTTTGTTTATTTATTTAAGTGCTTACTTGTGCATTTTGCTTCAGAAATATTGAACTGCTTGAATCTGGAGTGCTTCCCCAGATTCAAGCCATATCCAGAATATGTCCCACTGTTTTGTCCTCTTAAGGTTTAAAATATTCTAAATTCCAAAACATAATGGGCTCCCTATATGTCAGAAAAGAAATTATAGACTTGTGCCATTATAAGCAGGTGTAAGTATTGCTATTTGAGCCTCAAACTCCAGGTATAGGTTTACTAAGAGAAGGTGATCCCAAACTTAATCCTAAATTTATAATTTTAGCAGAGAATATTTTTCTTGAACGTAGCTACTCAATAGTTGACTGTAATGAGACACATTCAAAAGATGTAACAATGGCTATAGCTAAATTGTTGACTGTATCAATAACATAAATTATGAAGGTACCTTTTCCATAATTTAATGAGTAAACCTCAAAGCATGATTTCTGTTATTTTTCAGTATTTACCAACTTTCTATTATGTCTCAGGGCCTGGGAACTGCAGCCCTAGCTACTCAGGAGACTGAGACGTGAGGATTACTAGAGGCCAGGAATTCGGGGCTGCAATAAACTGTGATTAAGCAACACCCCGTTCCTAGGGAGAGAAAAAAAATCCCCAAAATACAGAAGAAAAACAAAAACAACACATTCACATGATTCTCATTTAGAACAATGTAAACTGCTCCCTTTCAATTAGAATCACTTCTTATTTTTGGAAAAAAAAAAAACTTTTTGACATTTTCTTTTATTTATCTTAGTTAAAGAAATGACCTGCTCCAGAGAACTTCTATGTTGAATACTAAAGGTTAATGTTAATAGCAGTGAATTTTAAAATGGTTTCTGAGAATGTAATGTGGAAAGCCAACCATTGCATGCCTGGTAATATTACAAATCCCTTGTTTTCTAGCCTCTCACATTTCCTCATCCCTCTTCCTGAGCCCAAAGCCAGATCCCCTCTACCCACTTAGTAGTCTTGAAACAATTGCCAAGAGTTCTCAAGGGCTCACCTACCCTCTCCTTTTCTCTTCCTTCCCAAGAAATATGCTAATGTCCACACCTCATAGACTGTCAGGCTTCACTTCTCCCTTCAACTATCCCTGTGGCAGGACCAAAGAGCCCTGTGATTACTTGAAGTGCAATTGATTATACACCAGGATTAGGAAAATGCCTCTAAAATATTCTAAAATGAAGACTTAATTATTGTGGCCTTATACTCTCTTATCATCCATGAAGAGCTGCATGTATGGGTAGACAGCCTGCACTGGTTGCTCACCATTTGTGTTCGTGTCTAAGAAAGCATACAGAAAAGACATGGGTATTATATACACCAGGATCCAAGAACTCAATGAGAATACTCTGCAGTTCATAGGGAACAGAGTAAGAAATTAAGCAATCAGTCACAAGTACCTATTATTTTAAGGACAATGCACTAAAGAAATACAAAATTAGGTATTAGGATAGACAGCAATTTGAATTCAATTAATAATGAACATTTTATAGCTAATGTTTACTGTATGCATACAGGGTTCCAGGCACTGAGCTAAATGAATTTCTCATGAATTTTCTTGTATAATCCTTAAAAACCTGATCAGGTTGGTATTTTTTTATCATCCCTTTTCTTTTTAGTTGAGTACTCTGAGACATACAGTGTAGTTGAGTGACTTTCCCAAGGTAACACAGCTGATGACTGATATAGCTGGAATTTCAACCACATTCTCTCTGACCCTAGAGCCCTAACCATGAACTTTATGCTTTATTATCCTTCATGATGCCTGCAAATATTATCACAGGAAATACCTTCTTGGGGTGCTGAAATTACTATAAGAAACATATTATCAGTCCTACTACAATGAGATAGTGGTAAAGTATAGACAGATGCTAAACATCAATTTTATGGAAATCATTCACCACCAGACAGAAGTGAGTATGACAGTGAGCTCAATTCAATCATGAAAGTACATTAAGAAGGTAGTTTAATGTATGAAATGCAGATTTCAGATAGTTGGAAACTATTTAGCAGAGGCTCTGGTTTTCAAACATTTGTCAAGGGAAATGAAGCAACCCCACCTCTCATTTAGGTAAAAAGGGAAAAGGAAATTCTCTTAGAAATACAATATTAATGATTTAGCTCCCTATGGTAATGTACAATGATGAACTGTTATATATGGAAAGAATATTACTTGTTTCTAATTAGAAAGTGTCCCTTTCCATCCTGTAGCACTGAGCGAAAACAAGAAAAGCTAAATGGTTCCAAAATGTTTAAAGTAGCTTTTAAAGTATTACAATGTGCCTGTAGGATGTAAGGTATGGTATAACTATCTCACAGGAAAGAATATTAGCTAGAATAGAGAAAGAAACATGAAAAAATGTCAAATAGATAAATCTTGGATGCAAAGAATATCTTAAACACTTGATCTGTGTGTTCGATTCAAGGCAAGATTGAATCACATAAGATAAAACAGATTCTAGGGGGGTATGTCAAGGAAAAATTACATGTGAATGTTTCAGAGCATTAATTTATTTACTTTGGGCATTTACATTTTTAGCCCTCATAATATTCTTGGTTTATATTTGTATTTTCATTCATTTACTCAGTTACTTATTCAACCAGTCAATAGCAACTCCTCATTGAGTATTCATTAAGCATCAGGCACAGTTCCAAAACACACAGTTGACCCTTGATCAGGACAGGGTTTAGGATCACTGATTCTCCTCAACACAGAATTTTTATTGATTTCAAAATAAATTATGCATGATAAAAATACTAAAAGTCTGTTTAGGCAGGATATCCTTCCTCCTTAATGGATTTCTTAATGGGAACTTACCTGCTGCCTCTTGGTAGGTAAAAGCTGCTTCTCACGTTATCTTTACATTTCTAAAGCCAAACCTCTGTTGAAAATTATCAAACCATCCTTTGCTGGCATTAAATTCTCCAGCTTTAGATCTTTCTCTTCCTTTTGCTTTAAGTTGGCATATTATGACTTCACTTTTTCTTGAATCATATTAGAGTTTGGTAGGTATGACTCTCTTATAGCAATCCTCCACCCACATAAAAGCTCATTTTCAATATGAGACAAAAAGGTATTTCACAAAAAGTACAATATTTTCATGCCTGCTGGCATAGCTGCAGTGACAGCTTCACAAATTTCCTGTTTTCTGACTATGGTCTTCATGCTAGATGTATTTATCTTGAAGTGGTGAATGTCAGTAACTGTGGGCCTTAATCTCTAGTTCATATCAAGCAATTCAACTTTTTCCTGTAATGTCATTACTTTCTCTGGTTCTTGGGAGCATTCCTAGTATCAGTAGTGGCACTTGGTATGGGTCGCATGATGTTATTCAAGATTTACAGTATTGCACTAAACACAATGAAAAATACAGAAGAACTGCAAGAGATCACTTTTTAGTGTGATAAGCAATTTGTTGGAGAGAGGAACTGCTCACACAGAGATGATTAGTGTCACGCAGCTTCTTAAGTGGATACTCAGAACACTTGAGCTCACAGCAATAGCAACAGGAGGTGGCTATGAAATTATTACAGAAGTACAGTATGTACAACAGTTAATTTTATGTAGTTATGAATTAATACTGCCTCTTTACACTTGTTTACATTTCTCTCAACTATGAATGGCAAGGTGTATAATCTGTGTGTGTGTCCATAAGTTTTAATAAATTTGAACTTTTTAATGTCTATATTTTATGGTAGTAAATCATAAAATACTATCTACATATGTTTTATGCATTCATGACTTATCTAAATTTTTCTTAATTTTTAAAATATTTATAGGCTATGAATTTTGTCTGTGAGATTTTTCAGTGTCACAAATCTCCAAAATTTTTCCAATATATGCATTGAAAAAGATCCATGTATAAGTATACTCATGCAGTTCAAACCTGTGCTGTGCAAGAATCAACTGTTTTCGGTACTTTTATAAAAACCATATTCTGTGCCGGGCGCGGTGGCTCACGCCTGTAATCCCAGCACTTTGGGAGGCCAAGGCGGGTGGATCACGAGGTCAGGAGATCGAGACCATCCTGGCTAACACGGTGAAAACCCGTCTCTACTAATAATACAAAAAATTAGCCAGGCGGGGTGGCGGGCAGCTGTAGCCCTAGCTACTCGGGAGGCTGAGGCAGGAGAATGGCGTGAACCCAGGAGGCGGAGCTTGCAGTGAGCTGAGATGGCGCCACTGCACTCCAGCCTGGGCGACAGAGCAAGACTCCATGTCAAAAAAAAAAAAAGAAAAACCATACTCTTTATTGAATCTCCTTCTAAACTCCACATTGTACACATTTTGATAAAGTACAAATGTACGTGCATGGGTGTGCATGCTGTGTATGTGAGAGAGTATGTTTGTATGTTCGTGCACGTATGACTGTGTGGTCAGATTCTATGAATAGAATATTAGTAAATCCATGACCTCATAAAGCAGTGTTTATTTCTTGCTACTTCTCATGGAAAATACTGAGATTTCCTTGACATTAAAAACACAACTTTATAATAATGCAAAATTGACAAGATTTTTCAAGAAAATTTTTCATAGCTAACACCTGCTTCTTATTGGAGTTTAAACCATCATGTTCCTCATTCTCTTTGAGGTTTTACAACTCTTCTCTCTTAAGCTTGATAGTGCTTTAACATTTATATTGTGGGTCTTTTAGTTTTACTGGCTAGATTAGGTCTACCCATTGCAAAAAAGCTACACAAGTATAAAAATAATTCCTTAAGTGACAAATAAGGAGAAAAAATCTTCAACTGACTGTAGGGAAAATATAGGTAATTTTACTACTGTATTAATGGCAAGTATCAAACTATAAATATTTGACAAAGGTGAGCCATATGGTCGGACATTCTCCATAAATAACCAAAATTTATTTGATTTGATTTTATAAAAATAATAATTAAAAATATTAAGCTAAACAGACAGCAAAATAAACTTTAAACTTAATGGGCTCCATATTTGACTAAAGCATTTTCAAAGAGACAAAAAGGGAGAATTATTTATCCAGACAAACATTCTACATACAAGAAAAGAAGCATGTGGAGTATGCACATATTTGGAATTTTTTAAAGTAACTTCCAATGCAGATGAAATTTTTGTGCAGTGGAGACCCCCAAAAAGATCAAACAACTTTATTTTATTGCCTCCTTGATAATGTCCTAATGTTGTACATAATTCAAGCTGTGGAAAATGGTTTCAGCCATGAAGAAGATATCTTGGGCTGATTAAACACTAATGTAAGAGAAGAGACACCCCCTCAAAAAAAAGTTTATTTGTACCATCATTGATTTTGCTATAATTTATTCATAATAAATGTTAAATGTTAGCCAACTACCATCATACTTATCACGGGAATCCACTTGTTAGCAGACTCAAAGATGTTAATCTAACAACAAAAAGTCATAAATAAAATGTTGACAGAGAAGATCTAAATAAATGATTATATATTCATGGAATGAAATATTATGAAACCATTCAACTAAATTATTCAACTTGAATGACATGGAAAATGTTTATTATATTAATAGCAGAAAGCAGGAAGTACTGACATTAAGATACCAAGTTTATAAAAGGTAATGGGAAAGAATTATGGCAAGAGTTCATATTAGGAAATATTTTATTAAGAGAAGTCTAATAAAAATACTCTTCCAAAATTTGCAGCTGGGCATGGTGGCTCACGCCTGTAATCCCAGAACTTTGGGAGTCCAATGTGGGCAGATCACTTGAGGTCAGGAGTTCAAGATCAGCCTGGCCAATATGGCAAAACCCCATCTCTACTAAAAATACAAAAATTAGCCAGACATGGTTGTGGGTGCTTGTAATTCCAGCTACTTAGGTGGCTGAGGCATGAGAATCCCTTGAACCCGGGAGGCAGAGGTTGCAGTGAGCTGAGATGGCACCACTGCATTCCAGTCTGGGCGACAGAGCAAGACTCTATCTCAAAACAAAACAAAACAACAAAAGAAAAAAATTGCATTCAGTGATAGGCTTTATCAAGGGAGGCTCTTTCTGTTGTTGTCACATTTGCTTCATATGTTGAGAAATGAAATATAACATGTAAATTTCATTTTTGAATGGTTTGAAGGATATGTGTATTTTTTGAAACAAATATGAAGCCAAATTTTAAATGGAAAGATTTCACATCAGGGACACAGATTACTGAGAAGTTAGAAACCTGTTGGAGGCATGTTCCAGCAAGAGTTCTTTTCCTATTTTATCCCATCTAAATTGGGACTATGTTGCCTGAGCCATATGGTTTTCCTCTCCGCACGTGGTGAGGTTTGCTTTCTTAGAGGACAGGGAGGTTGGGGAGGGGAAGGCCTCAAAATCCGAACATGTGAAAATTAGGTGGTCACAATGTTGGAGGTGAGTTTAAAATTGACTGGAGGTTAATGTGCTTGAGCTTTTGTTGCACTCTCTGTCATCTCTCCCATAATTTCACCAAAGAAGGTTCTGTTTTCTTTCTTTGTAATTATCACTGACACACATCTGGCAACTTAATCCATGAGAATCTTCCTGTAGCTCTGCAAGGAAGTGAAATTCACCTTGCTGTAGGTTGGTGCGTGAAAATATCCTTGAACTTTACGTTTTAAATGTAGTGAGGTTGCAAGCCCGATTCCCACAGGCACTTATTTGCAGGATCTGCTTTCATTGGGACTAACACACAAGTTAACAACTGCAGTGCTGATAAAAGAGATCATCTGTAAGTGAAACATACTGCTTCCTGCCGTGCGGCCTCTTTCAATAGATCCAGTCTTCTGTATACTTTCATTACAAATTCAGGCTTATTCCTATTACTTTTTCAGAAATTCAGAATTTGAAAAAATCATTAGCGCATTGTCTTCTAACTCTGTTTGTTACATCACTGATTCATAACTTTTTTCCAATCAAGAAGCCTTTTCACAGTGTTAGAAAACTAGTTTTTACAAAATGGCTACGTACCACATTCTGAAGTTCACAAATAATTTCAAGCACAACCATTGGCCTCAGTCTAAGAGCACTTGCTCTAGGTACTAAAACCCATAAATGCATTTCTGTAATAGAATTTGAGAAACAGGAAACATTCTACTTGAGAGCAATGCTGAATTCTTGAGAAAATTCTATAATGGAATCCTGCTTTCCCATTGATTTACATTGCAATTGTAGATATTCATAGCTAAATAATTTGTTTTTATCTAAAATGCAATAGAATTATTCTTAGAAAGAAGAATCCCTCAAACACAGTAACATTCCTAAAACAAATTATCAATGAACAACAAATTTTTAAACCTGAAGAAAATACTAAGCCAACACATTGAGATGCAGGATGTGTAATTTATCTTAATGGAAAAATTCTGCACGTATTTTTTTCAAACAAAAGATATGTTTATCCTTCACCTCTATACTTTCTTAGGCCATCTTTGTCAAAACACATCTCTGGCCTGTGAGTTGGCAACATGATTGAATTAGTTTGCAACTCAAGATGGCAGGAGATTAAACAGAATACTTTGAAAAATAGAAGTATCTCCTAGAAAGAACCTCAGTGAAGGGATTGTCTAAGAAACAGAGGTAAGAGTGGTTTTTTGACTAAAGTATTTGTAGAGCAATACAAAGAATAATTTTATTTGTTCAATAAACAAAATATGGGTTGAGGCCGGGTGCAGTGGCTCACGCCTGTAATCCCAGCACTTTGGGAGGTCAAGGCAGGTGGATCAGGAGGTCAGGAGATCGAGACCAGCCTGGCTAACACAGTGAAACCCCCTCTTTATTAAAAATACAAAAAATTAGCCAGGCATGATGGCAGGCAGGCACCTGTAGTCCCAGCTACTCGGGAGGCTGAGGCAGGAGAATGGCGTGAACCCGGGAGGCGGACCTTGCAGTGAGCTGAGATCGCCCCACTGGACTCCAGCTTGGGAGACAGAGCGAGACTCCATCTCAAAAAAAAAAAAAAAAAAAGTGGGATAAATAGTAAAGGATTATAAAACATATTTTATGGCTATGACAAAAATGAGTACAATGAAATTAATGAGAGGAGTGTGGAAATATAAGAATATTCTCTGTTGAAGAAAGCAGAAAAAGAGGCGTATTTGGGTTTAAAAAAAATAATAATCAAAAGAGGAATATTGCTGGATTATTCCATAGACAACCGTGCCATGTACAGCACAGTTGAGAACTTAGGGTTTGAGAATATTTTTTGTATTGTAATTACTAAAAGGGCACTGAAGCAAAACATCATATTTGAAGAAGATCTTGATTTAGCAAACATTTTCAGAGTGCCTGTTCTAGGATAAGCTGAAGATGTTGTGAGTTGAGTAGGACCTGTGCCTCCTTGAGGTTGTTGTTCACAATCTACTGAGAGAAGAAATCAAATACCATGGTTGCAGGTGCCTATAAGGCACAAGTGATTACTAACATCTAGTGTGTAACACCCACTTTACATAATACTTTATTTTCATAATCTAATTCTCAGTAGAGATCCTCTGATCTCTGATCTATACATGAGCAATGTGATAAATCAAAAGAGATTAATAAATGGCCAAAAATCATGTAGTTACTGCCAGGACTGAGAGTTGACTCCAAAGCCCCTGCAAAACAACACAAGGTAACTGTTGTTTAAGGCAATCTATGAAGCATACACACAACATTTGAGCTAGATCTAGAAAAAGTATAGGTTTTGCAGTAAAAGAAAAGGGAAAGACATTTAAGGCAGAAGAAAAATAGCACCTATGAAGATACTGAGCTGAGACAAGGCATGGTGGAAGAAATGACTGATGAGTAGGGTTAGTAAAGTGTCAGGACTCAGAGTAGCATAAAGCCATGTGAGTTTTACTGCATGATGTGACATAGGAGGTTTTTGAGAAAAGGAGGGATCTGTGTTTTAAATCCATCTTTGCAGCAATAGTGTTTTGTGTCTTTGTGAGACTGAGGTGCTGGAGAAGGGGCAGAAGTAGTGCAGAAAGAGTAATAATTGGCAAGAAGAAATATCAATTAAGAAATTTATAATAGGCAGGGCACAGTGGCTCACACTTGTAATTCCAGCACTTTGGGAAGCCAAGACAGGCAGATCACCGGAGGTGAGGAGGTCGAGACCAGCCTGATCAACATGGCAAAACCCTATCTCTACTAAAAATACAAAAATTAGCTGGGCGTGGTGGCGTGTGCCTACAATCCTAGCTGCTCTGGAGGCTGAAGCATGAGAATCACTTGAACCTGAGAGGTGGAGGTTGCAGTGAGCAGAGATTGTGCCACTGCAGCACTCCAGCCTGGGCGACAGAGTGACTCTGTCTCAAAAAGAAAAAAAAAAGAAAGAAATTTATAATAAAGCTTGGAAAACAATAGTGGCCTAAGCTGAAGCAGAGGGTACAGAAAGGGCCAACACAACAGTGGAATTGAGGTAGCTGACAGGATGCACAGTGGGCATGGAGAGTGGGGGGCGTTCAGGATGCTCCCTAAGTTATTAGCCTTAGGAGGTAAGGTGGATGCCAGTAACTCACTAATTGAGAAACCAAAGAGTAGAAGTAGGTGTGAGACAGGAAATTGATAAGTGTGAATTCCATTTAAGTGGTAGAGAACCATCAGGTGGGTGGTTCCATTGAAGTGAGCTGGAGCTCCGAGACAAGAGCAGGGCTAGAGGTATACAGTATGAATTGACCCAACATAGGGCTGGTAGTTGAAGTCATGAAAGTGCAAAGGTGGAGTCAGGAAAAGCATATAAAGAAACAAGAATGCATAGACAGCAATCAGCATAGGAGATGGAATGCAATGTTAAGGTCCAAAAAGAATAGTATCACACATATTCACCGACAGCCTGGTCATGCACTGACAGCTAAGGTCATGAAAGAGAAGCAAGAATAAGGGTAAACTGTGAAAGAAGAAAAGAGAGTTTCAAAAAAGAGTAGGATCACACATATTCACTGACAGCCTGGTCATGCACTGACAGCTAAGGTCATGAAAGAGAAGCAAGAATAAGGGTATACGGTGAAACGAGAAAAAAGAGTTTCAAAAAAGAGTAGTATCACACTTATTCACTGACAGCCTTACAATATAAAGTCATGCATTTCTTTTGTAAAAGTCAGTTGCATCAGCATCAGGTTCAAGAATTCTGACTTGCAAAATAACCAGTGGTTGTCATTGACTACAAGCTCAAGTCACATCAACACTTGTATCACTCTACTAATTCAGTGCTTCTCAAACTTTACAGTAGATAGAAATCATTGAGAGACTTGTTAAAATATAGACTCTAATTCAGTAGGTCTGTAGTAGCGCCCTAAATTCTGAGTTCTTAACAAACTCCAGCTACTGCTGATGCTGCTACTGTGTGAACTCCACTTCTAGTAGCAAAGTGCTAGATCAGCTAATGTAAGTGTAGGCTGCTTTAACAGGATCACTATGTCTACATCAAAGGAGGTTCTATTTTCAGTGTTCTTTGTAACTTGCAAACCAATTTTAAGATAAGTGGGGAACACATAGAACACAATAATCAAACCACAGTATCTGAATTCTGGTTACAAGCACTAGTAAGCTTTACTTGTGGAAAATAAAACATGGGAAGAATTTGGAAGTTGTTTTTTTATTTGAAGTAGATAGTCTTAATTGTTAAAAAGGTTAGGACCTAGTCTCATAAATGAAAGTTCTAGGGAGGCTGATTTGTTGTTTGTGGGTTGTCCAACAGAATCCCAGCCCAATGAATAATGTCTTCTCTCTCTGCAAAGGGTTTCAAACAAAGCTTTAAATTTAAGTACTGGAAGAAATCTCTGAGATTACCTGGTTCAAACTACTTACAGATCTAACAGATGAAGAGGAGAGTTGGAGGCAGAATGTATGTTGCACTCAGATTATGTTGTGAAACTAGTTACTGCATTGAAGACTTGATGACCTAAAAGGTAATTTTAACTCTATTGCTTACACTCATAAATTGGAGAAATTATGTACATTTCTACAGACAAATTTGATGGTCAACTCATTAAGCAAACAAAAAGGGAAATTTAGTTTTTTGTGGGGAGGGGCATGGGAAGGAGGGTTTCTGAAAAATATCAGGAATTTGCATCTATAATTACATCAAAACACTATGGAGGCATTTAACCACGGTTACACACGATTAAGTCACTGTAAATTATCTCATTGACCAATTGAAAAAATTAAAGGCCTGAGAAAAGTAATTTGGATATTTATTTCTACATGTATCAATTCAAAATTAATTGAGCAGTTACTAGGTGTGAAATCTTAGACTGCTTTTTGAGCATGGTGTGATGAATTTACTTCTATGGGATGACTGATGTCCTAGGGCTGCCCATAAAATTTGAGGAAGAGAAGAGCTGGGCTGAAAGTTTGAAGCCATTCCTTGTCAAAGTATTTAAGTGTCTTTGAACCAAAAGTTGATCAGCTGTAACTACAGGGTGGTGAGGTGGCTCATTCATGACTTTATGCAACCCTCATCATGCCTGATGGAAATAGCAATCGTCTGTGGATAAAGGGTAGAGGGTTTCATGACCTGTTTTGATCCCAGGGTTTGGCTGCACACCTAGGACAGAGGTTTTCCTAAGTAGATATTGGGAAGCACCTTTAATACAGCTCCAAACTAAAAATGAAGCTTGCTTTTACAGAAGGAGGACATAGGCTTTGTTTACTCAGGGAACCTTATAGCTAAATTTAAAAGCAGATGTATGTCTGTGCAAAATAGCTTGCCTTCTCCCATAAATAGAAACCGAATATGAACCTCATACTTTTCTTCAAATGTTTTTAACAGCATTGTGTGTGATGTTGACCAATTATTCAGTCATGTCACATTCCCACTTCCTGAGTGAATCACCAGCTGCAAAAATTAAGATGAAAAACTTTCCACAAAAGAAATCATTATGAAGTATTTAAGCATCTTTGGATAAAAGACAGTTTAAAAAACAAATCACTGTGATTTATGACCATGCCAGTTAAGATTGCAATAAGACTTATGTCTTGCTAACAACAATTTGTGTGCTTTTATTTCACAATGATGACAAAATATATTGTCAAAACAGATAAACTTTATGTAATACAGTAAGACTTTGATTTAACAAATCATTCACAATAAGCCATCAAAATATATAATGATAATCAAAATTCCTTGGTTGAATTATTGTCTCTTCCAGAACATATATAAAGATACTCAAAGTAAAATTGGTAAGCTTAAGCCTTTTCATGTCATACTTTGTGCTTAAGGTCAGTTTCTTACTTATCACAGTGGAAAAGTACAATAGTCCCTCGAGCTCTAGTTCTTTGATGAGCTAGGCCAGAAGAAGCAGACTCAGTCCTCTTCCTCTTCCCCGCCCCACCACTATTATACTTCAATTGCTGGGAAAATCAAGTTTTCAGATTGCTGCTTTAGGACTGAAAACAAAGCAAATCAAACTCATGTCAATGAATTATTCATGTAATTTCTACTTTCCTTGTAATAGATTTTTTCCTTCAATATATATGACATGGTTTCGTTGTTGATCTATGAACACATTTGAAATTAAGTTTATCAATCTGGAAATTTGGAAGACAACCACTAATATAGGTACTATTATTAAAAAAGTTAAAGGTTAGGATACATTAATTTTACTTGTTGTTCAAATTAAACATGAGACAGCAATAATACATCTTATTTTTCAGATTTTAAAGAAGATTACTCCTCAAAAATTGTCTATTGCTTATTATTATTAAATATATAGACATTTTAGTTATGTTAGAAACCAGGTTATTTCATACAAATTATATTTTATATACATCGCTCTGTCTGAGGATGTCGTTGGAACTGGTTGTCTATTGGTAAGTCCAGGCAGCTACTTCTTAGAATAACTATATAAAAACTGATTTTTGCCCCCTACAATCCCTTGGTTAATATGAACTTGAATAGTATTTAGTGGGCTGTCATGAATTAGACTTACATTGAAGCTGTCATTTAAGGGAGTAATACTGAGATCTTTAAACAGAGTTAAAAGTTGAACTTAGTAAAATATTTACTTATAAGTTGGATTGAAGATCATTACAAAATTTATACTAATTTGATTTTTCCTAAACAGATGAAAAACACTTGTAGACAATGTCTTAAATTTAGCTTAGGAAATTATTGTATTTCCTACCTGAGTTCTGTAGAAGAGCCTATGTCACAAATGAGATTAGGATGATATCCCAATGTTCTCCATGATGGGCAGAATATCCATAATCTTCCTAGTATGAAGTAGCGTTAACAACATTTTTAATTGAATCTATAGCAAGATTGCAATATAGACTGCATATGTTTGTATAGGGTCATATACTATTTAGTTTATAACTATAAAATGAAAATAACATATCTCAATAAAAAATAAGCATTCAAGCAAAAATAAAATTATTGGTAAATTATAACAATTTATGATCTTAAAATGTTTTCTAACATCAGGATATTAGTAGTGAAAAGGAGCTGAATCACAGAAACAAAATTCCAACAAAGAGTTAATTTACTAATAGAATTCAATGAAAGAGACACACTTCATGCTATACATTTTAGAGCATGATCATTTAGGAATGAAGGAGTAGCTTATGCTGATGGTGAGACTTAGGATAAATCTCATTCTAACCTCATAGTCCTGAGATAAAATTCTAAGCATCCTCACTAATACGGCCAAGCTTGAAGAGAAGCAGTTTGAGGAGGTAGTATTCTCTTTTCTCTGTTGCAAGTAGAGGGGAAGAAAACATGGTTTTGGGGGAGATTCAGGTGAAACATGGGTATTGAAAAGTTCAGACTGATGCCCTCAGATGAAAGCGTTGCCTCGACGTCTTCACACTGAGTGGTGAATAAGATCCAAAGCCTGTTTCAGCTGTTCCCTTAGTGCACTGCATGAGGAATGGATACAAGCCTCTACCAGAGTTAAGCCCAGCAATAGATATCTTGACAGAGCTGAGCAGAATTCCTTCATCAAAATGTTGCACTTTCCTCCAGTTGTTCTTAAGCTCCTTTTTCCAAATGAAATAGAAGATTAAGTAGACTGTACCTAATCACTCAATTATAGCTCAGTTTGGCAAATCCGTTTTAGAAAAGTGAAAATGGAATCAAGAATTCACTCTTCCCACATCAGAGTAAATAGTAACCAGTACATAAACTATGAACCATGTAAATAATCAGAAAAAAAATAAAGGCATGAGAATTATGCAAATATCTTATGTTAAGAAAAGGAAGAAGAAAGGAAGGGGGAGAGGAAGGGAGGAGGAAGAGAGAGACAGAAATAGAGAAAGAGAGACACACACAGACAGAGGTAATAAACAAGTTTGGAAAGAGAAATAACCTAAAAAACAGAGGAAATTTTCCCCAAATGCTTCACATTATACAAGTGTTTATTAAGACATAAACATAACTTAAATGTTTACTAAATGTTTTTACTTTTTTATATTAAATGTATATTGTTATTCAATGTTTATTAAATAATAAACAATATAATAAACAAAAATGAAGATAGTTGTTGAAGAGGTAGGCTAAGATGTCAGAGGGCTTAATTTTTGCAGCTTTTTAAAAATTTTATAATTAATTTTTGTGGATACATAGTAGGTTTATATATTTATGTGATACATGAGGTGTTTTTTATAGGCAAACAATGTGTAATAATCACATCACAGATAATGGGCTATTCATCCCCTAAAGCATTTATCCTTTGTGTTACAAACAATCCAGTTACTCTCTTTTAGTTATTTTAAAATGTACAATTAAGTTATTCAAAGGGCTTATTTCCTCTTCTTTCTTAATAGCAAATGAACACATACTGACTGAAATAAAAGCAGGTGCTTAGGAAATAATTCCATGCTTTTAATGTTTTCAATAATTTTTGCAGATTTAGTGATTGTTTAGAAAGTTATATCTCACTTTGATAAAACATTTTCCAAAATGCATGTTTTTCCTGCTTCATTTCAATTTTTTGTTTATAAGTTTCAAGTTTCACTAAAAAATACAATGTCACCCCATGTGACCCCATGTTAAATGAAATAATATCTATTAGTCAATCATTGCCAAATAATGCTGCATAACAACACTCTCAACATTTATTAATGACATGGTTTGGCTGTGTCACCACCCAAAAATTTCATCTTGAATTGTAATCCAAACCATAATCCCCATGTGTTGGGTGAGGGACCTCCTGGGAGGTGATTAGATCTTGGGGGCAGTTCCCCCATGCTGTTTTCATGATAGTGAGTTCTCTTGAGATCTGATGGCTTTATAAGTGTTTCTTCCCCCCTTCACTCTGCACTTTTCTCTCCTGCCACCACGTGACAAGAAAGTGTTTACTTCCCCTTCTGCCATGCTTGTAAGTTTCCTGAGGCCTCCCCAGCCATGCAGAACTGTGAGTCAATTAAACTTCTTTTCTTTATAAATTACCCAGTCTCAGGTATTTCTTTATAGCAGAGTGAGAATTAATATAAGTAGCTTCCAACAAGAAGCGTTAATTTCTCACTGAAGGATCTGTGGATTGTCTGGACTCAGTTGGATTTGCCAACACAGCATGGATTGGATTCAAATCTGCTGCATGTTTTCCCCTGGTGATAGCAGAAGTCAAAGAAATCAAACCCATCTGTGCAAGCACATTTGAAGCCTTAATACACATTACAGGCACTTTTTTCACCTTTTGTTCAAGCAAGACATATGACAAAGACTAAATTCAACAAGTGGGAAAATATACTCCCGTCGCCATTAGGCCGTGGCAAAAGTACAGATGTCAAATATTACTGTATGAGGCAGAACTGAGACCAATGATTCTATCACATCATCCATTTTTTTTTACCTATATTCTTCTATTCATAGAGAGTAGCTTGAAATGACGTACACTGAGGTGACAGAATTTGGGGGATTTTTCTTTTACTTTATTCCTCGTTTGGCGGGAGGGGGAGAAAAACTTTATTTCTTAAATACTACATTATATACAACTATAATTTTTTAAAAGAAAACAGCCTTATTGCGATACAATTCACATATTGAAAAATTCACCCTTTTGAAGTGTATAAATCTTTGGTTTTTAGTATATTCACACTTTTACAACTATTACCACTATCTAATTTCAGAATATTTTCATTACTCTGGGAAAACCTGAGCCCATTAGCAGTCTTTCCCCATTTATCCCCTTTCTGTAGCCCTTGGCAGCACTAACCTAGTTTCTGTGTCTATTGATCTGTTGATGCTGACTATTTCATATAAATGGAATCATAGAATATGAATGGCTTCTTTCACCTAGCATAATGTTTTCTGGGTTGATCCATACTGTAGGGTGTATAAGTACTTCATTCCTTTTAATTACCTAATAATATTCCATTGCTTAGATATACCATACTTTGTTCATCCATTTATCAGTTGACTGATGTTTTGGCAATTTCCATTTTTTGGCTATTGTGAAAAATGTGAAGAATATTTCTGTGCAGAATTTTCAGTTCTCTTGGGTATATGCCTAGGAATGAAATTGCTGAGTCATATTTAGTCTATGTTTAACATTTGTAACAACTGCACATTTCCCAAAGTGGCTGGAACATTTTATAATCTCACCAACAATATACCAGTTCCAATTTCTCCACATCCTCAACAACACTTTCATTTTGTTGTGGTGTCTTTGAAGCACAGATACTTTTAATTCTGATGATATCTTGCTCATCCATTTTTTTTTTTTGTAGTTTGTGCTTTTGGTGTCCTGAGAACCATGGCCTAATACAAAGACACACAAATTTTCTTCTAAATGTAAGGTTTTATCTCTTACATTTAGGTCGTTGATTCATTTTGGGTTAATTTTTACATATGGTATGAGGAAAGGTTCCAATCTTATTCCTTTCCATGTGCATATACTGTTGTCTTCACACCATTTGTCAAAAACACTATTCTTTATCCTTTGAATTTTCTTGTAATTCTTGTCAAAAATCAGTTGACTATACATTTAAGGATCTATTTCTGGATTCTCAGTTCTATTCCATTGATCTCCGTGTCTAACTTTATTAACTTTACCACACTATTTCTGTAGCTTTGTAGTAAGTTTTGAAATCGAGTAGTGTTACTTTGCACTTCTTCGAGATTTTGTTTTGGGAGTCTTGCATTTCCATATGAATATTAGGATCAGCTTTGTCAATTTCTGTAAAAAAGCCAGCTGGAATTGCATGTGGAATTTTAAAAAATCATAGTTATTAATCCGAAAATACATACTCTCTATAGAAATGGTTAAATTCTTCTTTAAATTGCATATAAATTTATATTGGATAAGATTTACTGCAACAGGTTAGCAGTTTTGGAAGAAACTGAATCTGGTATAGGTGGTGTGCAAATGCTTTCTGAGGCAGAGAATAAAGAGATATAATTAGTATTTTAGTAAAGTGAGAGGAAATTATTGAGCTAGGTAAGTGCAGGAACAGTGCCCCACAAAGAGAACACAGTATGTGTTAGCATGGAGATATATGGAGACATCAGTATTTTCAGGAAACTGAGTGTTCACTAGAGTTGTATGTTAGGTTTGATGATGCAAAAATCAATCAGCATTTTTTCAATCAGTCAGGATTATTCATAAGGAAATTCTAAGTCATCAATCATGGATATTTTCATATATTCATATTTTAAATATAGTTTTAAATTCTGACAGTATTTAATCATACTATGGAAAAAGTGTCTAAGATACAAATAATACATAAATGTGTTAATCTCTGTAACTTTAAAAAGAGTTATCTGAGATATCTGTCATGGTACCTGAGATAGGGTTGACAGGAAAGTCATTCACTGGAAAACCAAACACATTCTCAAAGCACCGTTAAACAAAAAGTAACTGTATCACCTTGCACCAAAAGGAGGAAGACTTTTGGCTTGCTCCTTTTAGGGTTAGAGTTAGTCCTTTTGGTAGATGCCCCAACAGTACTAGTAGAATGGACTGTTTACCACTAAAAAACACCCAGTTCCAATCTACTAACTTCATTTTATAGATTAGGTAGCTGAAGTTTAGAGATATCTAGGAACTCTAGAGTTGTTTCATATTCAGTGAAAAACACATTGGTTCATTTGTATATTTACTTACTCATCAATGTAAATTGTTTCTGACCCCCTAATTTGATTAAATTCCTAACTAGGCATTGAGGGAAAGAAGAATGAGATAATTCTTGCTAGCAGTGCAATTAGACTGGGGGTCTAATGAGAAATCAAAATGGGAGCAAGTCATTATAATATGATATGACAATATTTGTAATTGAATATCCTTGGAAGCATAATGGAAATGGTGCCAGTGGGACTGAAGGTAGGAAAGAAAGCTTCACTGAGAAGTCCAGTTGAGCTGAGACTTAAGCAGAAGTGACAGAGATAGGTAAGTGTAGGAACAGCACTCCAACAGTGCTCCAAAGAAAACACAGCATGGGCCAGCACAGAAATTTGAGGGATATTGGTATTTTCAGGAAATCACAAGTATTCATAATATTGAATTGTATTATGTTTAATGGTACAAAATGAGCATAAAATAGCTGTATTATGTTTAATGGTACAAAATGAGCAGAAAATAGTAAACAATGGCATTTTGAAGGATTCTGTCCACGATACAAAGATTAAAGTTTAATCATGTGGAGTTGCATCATAAAATTTCCACCCAAGTGACAATCAGATTTGTCTGAAAGACCCCTCTGTTAGTGGAGTAAAGGATGGATCAGAGGAGAGGGAGAACAGAGACAGGGAGAGGGGGAGTCAAAAAATGGAGCTGTTGCAGGATAAAGGCGGTGAGGCGTGATGAGGGTTTGTATTAGGGCAGGAGCTACAGAAATGGAGAGGGAGAGACAAATACAAGACAGATCAAAAAATCAAAGTCAATGAGACTTCCTGATAGATTACATATGGGGCATGTAGGGAAAACAGTATGTAAAGCAAGTGATCTATTGCAATGGATTAAATGTTTGTGTCCCCGCAAAGTCATATTTGACTAACCCCCAATGGGATGGTATTAAAAGGTGGAATCTTTGGGAGGTAATCAGGTCATGAGGGTGGAGGATTGTGAATGAATAGGATTGTGCCCATACAAAAGGGTCCACAGAGAGTTATCTCACCATCTTTTCCATAAAGTGAGGACATCACAGAGATGACAGTCTGCAATTCAGAAGACAGCCTTCACCAGAACCAGACCATACTGGTACCCTGATGGTGGACTTCCAACATCCAACGGTGAGAAGTAAGTTTCTGTTGTTTAAAAGCTCGCCAGCCTGTAGTATTTTGTTACAGCATCTGAACTAAGAGTTCTGCTGTATTTTCAATTTTCCTTCTCCTTCTTGTGAATGTAAAGGATGTCATAATTTTTAACTGTGTTTATAATGCATAATTGGAACAGTCCGACATATCAGAAGGGAGGCTATCACATTATGCTTTTAGAGATAAGGATATTACCTTAAGTGTAAAACTTGCATTTTCTGCCTTTTCTTAAACCAAATCACAAGCAGAAGTCAATGCACCTGGAGACAGGGATGCACCGAGGGTAACCAAACCATAGTCAATGCACCTGGAGACAGGGATACACCGAGGGTAACCAAACCATAGTCAATGCACCTGGAGACAGGGATGCACCGAGGGTAACCAAACCACGTTCAATGCGCCTGGAGACAGGGATGCACCGAGGGTAACCAAACCACGGTCAATGCACCTGGAGACAGGGATACACCGAGGGTAACCAAACCATAGTCAATGCACCTGGAGACAGGGATGCACCGAGGGTAACCAAACCATGGTCAATGCACCTGGAGACAGGGATGCACCGAGGGACCAAACCACGGTCAATGCACCTGGAGACAGGGATGCACCGAGGGTAACCAAACCACGTTCAATGCGCCTGGAGACAGGGATGCACCGAGGGTAACCAAACCACGGTCAATGCACCTGGAGACAGGGATACACCGAGGGTAACCAAACCATAGTCAATGCACCTGGAGACAGGGATGCACCGAGGGTAACCAAACCATGGTCAATGCACCTGGAGACAGGGATGCACCGAGGGACCAAACCACGGTCAATGCACCTAGAGACAGGGATACACCGAGGGTAACCAAACCATAGTCAATGCACCTGGAGACAGGGATACACCGAGGGTAACCAAACCATAGTCAATGCACCTGGA
The DNA here is from genome assembly GCF_000001405.40 of Homo sapiens. Taxonomy (NCBI): domain Eukaryota; kingdom Metazoa; phylum Chordata; class Mammalia; order Primates; family Hominidae; genus Homo; species Homo sapiens. Next base: position 156,759,953 of record NC_000004.12, read on the forward strand.
GACAGGGATGCACCGAGGGTAACCAAACCACGTTCAATGCGCCTGGAGACAGGGATGCACCGAGGGTAACCAAACCACGGTCAATGCACCTGGAGACAGGGATACACCGAGGGTAACCAAACCATAGTCAATGCACCTGGAGACAGGGATGCACCGAGGGTAACCAAACGATGGTCAATGCACCTGGAGACAGGGATGCACCGAGGGACCAAACCACGGTCAATGCACCTGGAGACAGGGATGCACCGAGGGTAACCAAACCACGGTCAATGCACCTGGAGACAGGGATGCACCGAGGGTAACCAAACCATGGTCAATGCACCTGGAGACAGGGATGCACCGAGGGTAACCAAGTCATAGCCAGGATGTTTCTCACAGTGTAGCTTCTCATTACTTTGGTCTTTGCACCTTTACCAAGTGCACATGAGAATTATTAGATGAGGGAGGGAATGTAGAAATGGGATGCAGAAATGAAAAATGTAGACATGAACACCTGCCTCATGACATTTAAGGCTTGCTTTTATTTTAGTAAACATCACTGGGCAAAACAGCCCATGTCTCAAGGACAAAGGCTTGAAACAGATATCATACACAAAACGGTGTGTGGTCAATACAGTCAATACTTACTGTACTTCTCAGAAATTAGGGTCATGTGCTATTTATGTGTGTGTGTGTGTGTGTGTGTGTTTAGTAAAATACACAGGACGATCTATGAGTAAGTGATTATAAAGTGGTTAGTCCTCACATGGTAACCACTCACCGACTGGCAACTGAGGACTGCTACCCTTATGATCTCTTCTGGCTGTCAAGATTTTATAAGTAAACAAAAAATAAATATTAAAAAAGGGAAAATATATTTCGTTCAAAGATGGGAAACAATGGATTAAACACAGTTAAACAGGCTATTTACTAAGACTTAGTAGTCTTTACTATACTAATGAAAGTTGTAAACTGCCAACTACTTACTACGTTGCATATTCCATATATCTAGTTGGCCTCTATATGGATAGGACAAAACCAGGAAAAGGTAAGGAAGTAAGACAGAACACATAGGCTCATTTTGTTTCTTTGTTTTCCACATAGTTGGAGGCAGGGCAGAACTGCAGGTGTCAAAGCACAGGAAAAGGGTGCTTGCCTGAAGAGCAGTCTGAAGACAGAAGGCCCTGGACACTAGACATCTCTGCCAAGTTGAAAGGCTGAGGAAAGGATGCTGAAGATACCAGCCCTGAATAGGAATCTATGTCTGGAACTGAGGAACCATATCTTGAAGTGTGCAATGTACAATAATCCATGCACCAAATCAATTTATGCTCACCCCATTTAGTAGTTGCCAGTGACAATGAAGACATGAGTGGAAACCTGCAAGTTTTTTTCCAGTTTCATACTACCATACCACCTATCACCAAGCATTTCATAAACCATACAACTTTCAAGTCAGGTGAAACTTAAATTACCAGAAATCTGTATTAAGACCAGTAAGAAAAATAAAACCATTGCTCAAAGGCATTGGAAACAAGAGGCAGAGAAGGCTCACAGGTATCTTCCCTTTTTTTGTCTTTTGAATTGACATATGCTTTTGCTAAATGAAAATCATAACAGAAAATTTTATCTTTCATTTTCTCAGAGTCCAAGAAATAAATCTTGAGCACACACACACATAATTTTCTCCCCAAAATAGCCACATTCTTTTATTTGATGATTCAATACATTTTTGATTCAAATAGTCACCACATAACCTAGGCACGATATTAAGCATTTTACAAGCAAAATATTTTACTGATTTTCTTTTAAATTGCCAGAGTACAATAAGTGAACTGGTTAAGAGACATACTTCTGTACATAAAAATATCCATGTATTTATACAAGTGTATGGAACAGAGTTTAAGATAATAAAACCACAACATCACAATAAATAGGATGTGTTCCTACTGCACAGCACAGCACGCTTTATCAGGAAGCTGCCAAGTCTTTTTCAAGGTGCTTTATGTTTTTCTGAGCTAGGCTCAGATTTCCCCAAAAAAGGAATAGGTTAGTAATGGCTGGATCTGAATGTCTACTTTCATAAGTTGCTTTTTATTTTCATCTCCAATAACAGGAATGGAAGATATGATAATTTAATTATTTTCAAAAAGTCTTTGCAACTTACCAATTCTATTCCAATTCAGTTTTTTAAAATGCAGATTAATCTAACTCTAGCACCATACGAGAATGAAATACATGTATTTTTGTCAGAGCAACAATATTTTATATCATCTTTGTTCCTCTGGCTATAACAATTGTGTTTAGAAAAATTTACCAAGCTAAAAATAGTTGATCTAAGTTGTCATAAAAAAGAATATTAAATACCTTTGGTAAAAATAGATATATTTAACAAGATTAGAAAAGCCAACAGTTATAATGTCAAAAGGAGAATATAAAAATGTACACAATGAAACAAATAAACTGACTTATCGATAAAGTGAAGATAAGGCCACTCTTCTTTTCAGGTTTATCTCTTCCAAACCATGAATGTAGTTCTCTTCTTCTAAATGGCAGAAATTTTAATAAGAAATATGAAAAATCCAGTCTGTCCTATCAGCACGACACAAGTTTAATTCATAGCAACATAGTTCCTTTTTAAAAACCAGGTTTGTAGTACATAGAATGTTCTGGTTTACATATGTGAATATGAGCAAAAAAAAAAAAAAAAATCCAGATTTTATACGATTTTAGGCCCAGGACATGGAGCTTTAGAGTTAAGCAAGGCAACGGAATCAGGTGCTCACTTGCACAGTTTTTTTCCTGTACTGACATTACCCTAAGCCGTATCGAAAGAACTGAAATACAGAACCCAGCTAGTGGAATACGTACATGGTAACTCTGAAACTAGCTGGTGATCTATTTAATACAACATTTAATTTTCTTTCCACGATTGAAGACCTTTTCTCCTGTCCTTTAGGCCTCCTCTCAAAAGAGCTGTTGCACAACTCCTAATTCTGTTTGATGTCTCCTCTTTCAGAATGCACTGTAAATCCTGAAGATGAAAGGTCCTTGAAGCAAACAACTGAGATTAAGGATGGAGATAACGCATACGTTCTCTAATAGAATCAGCCACTGCACTGCACAGCTCTGGGCAAGAGCTGCTGGTGGTGATGCGGCTATCCTCCTGTGCTCCCTCTGCACACACAGTCACACTCCTCATGGTGCTCCAGGGCCACGTCGGTGAGTGATTTGTGCAATCCCCTGACACCGGTCTTTGGTCTCAACTGAAGGACCTGAAAGGGAATAAGAGTAAGCCACTTTTAAAAATCAACGAATGTCTATGACTGGCTTTTATAAACAAGTAACGTTTTAGAAAAGAATCTTGGGGCCCAAGAAAGACACATATTTTAATTTTTCCTAGAGCACGCATTATGAAAACACTCTCCCACCAAAAAAAAAAAAAAAAAAAAATCATCATTTCATGAAAGCACAGACATTTTAATGCCAACAATTTGGAAGCATTCTGTCTCTGAATAAGGAACAGTACTTAAATGGAAAGACTCACCACGCAATTGTTATTTTATTTATCTGACTATTTTAGAATTTCACCTTAAGTATTTTGGAACTACCAATATAAAATTCGTTTTTCTGTTTGTCGCTTTCTTTCATTCATTCATTTATTCACACATTTAACAAATATTTATACTTGATGCAATACACTCAAGTGCAGAAATACTGTGGAAAGAAACATGATCACTCCACAGCTGAGTCTGCTCAATTATGCCACTCATTAATTTTCTTGGCTACACTTCAAGTCCTCTATAAACTTGATGAGATGGATTAGATGTACTTCATAGACATCAGCCCCAGTCACAGCTAACTTCCTGCAGCTGGATCCTACTGTGCAGTGAGAAGAGGTTTGGCAATAATAACAATGATGCCTCTATTAAATAAAGTTATCTGCAGTTCAGATTGTCAAGGTTTTAATAAAAATACAGCAAGATTGACACTTATGCTACACATATTTCCTCTTAATACTATGACAAAAAGATGCAGTTGTGTATTCTATAAAATATTAATTAAAGTATTTGGTGTTGCTACCTATTTAAGTGTATTACATTTTATTTCTTATGATAGAAACAATAAAGTTTAGGAAATTGTATTTTGTTTGGATTATGAACAAAGGCCAGAGCACAAAATAATATGAAATTTTCTAGCATCTCTACTTTTTGGATACGACATAGATAACCTCATAAAGCCATTTCTAAAAGCTACCAGTCCTAAAAATGTTCATTAATCCAAAAAGGCACAAGTCAAGTCTTATGACTGTTCTATTTAAAGACTTAAAAGAAAAACAGAGAATGCATACCTCACTGGAGTATGTGGTAATATCAGAGGTTAATTAGCTAACATTTTTTGAATGCTTACTGGGTGCCAGGCACAATAATAACGTTTTTACATACTTTAACTCACAAGAATTCTATGAAGTAATTTACAATTATTACCCCTATTTTACACATGAGTGAACAGAGGCTTAGACAGAGTAAGTGACACAGCCTTTATTTGTACCTAGCCCAGAGATGAATTATTAGAGAGATAGATAATAATTTTATAGACTCAGAATATCACTGCTCATACATTCTATTTATTTAGTAACTTTCTTCCTGAAGAGATAAACTTCAAAGTCTTGTAATAACTATTAGAAATTCTAAACTTTTAAAGTAGTTTTCTCATCTATTTCACAATTCTAAAATAAAAATTACTTTGACTTTATTTCTTTAATGTGAAATTTAACTCAATGGCTACTGAATACTATTTTATGTTAGTACTGATTTATTATTTTTGAAAAATTTAGTGTGTCAGACTAACTACATTTCAGATATTGGCACTATTCCTTATCACAGTCTTGCTGCAAATTGTTTCTGGAATGAGATTGGGTGGGTGGGTAAGATAAATTGCAATATTGGCATAGACAACGTCTTCAATTCCTATGTCCACCTGTATGCATTTTCCCATTCAGCAAGGAAAAAAAAATTACTATGTAAGGTAAAGATTAGAGAGGCCACCATACACGGTCCTAACAGTCAGGCCAGGCTGCAATCCTTGCTTCCTCTAGCATGCATATGCCAAGATGCATTTGCTGAATCAAAGTCTCCTGTCTTTGTCTGCTGATGCTCATGGAGATTTACAAATAGCAGAAGAATCTCTTATGTTCTAGAAACTTAAGTCCTGGATAAGAAATTCTAATGGTGGAGGACACAATTAGTGTTCTTGTTTTTAATTCATTTTGAAAGTTTTGACTTTGGTGGAGAAAAATAGACTTGGAAAATGATCAGCAGGTCCCAGACAATATTAAAGAGGAAAAGGACATAGATTATGCCACCAGAAAAGAAACAGGGCTAATGTTCATCTCAGAAAATTTAGACGGAGAGGTTGAAATTAAAATGATAAGTCCATGAAAAGGAATGTCCAGGGAGAAGCTGAGCCAGAGATTGTGGAAGATAGTAGATAAGACACAGAGAGAACCGGCAAGGAACAAATGCTCATGGACCATTGCTCAACACGTTCAAACAAAATGACCTTGAACTTTTGAGAACCACAGAGCACTGGGAACAGGGATTCAGCACTAGAATCAGGCAACTGAATGCTACAGATTTTTAGGTTTGTCTGTGCAAAACAAACAGACATAATGTAAGAATGTAAGACTATTATTTCATAAAAAATTAAATATGTAAAAATATAAACAAGATGAAAATTATTAAGCCAAGTAAGAACAGAGAAAAAGGAACGAATATTTTACTATTGTCAGAGTATCCTGTAGATCTTTTGGCCAGAATACCTTTCCTGCTTCAGGGCAAAATTCATTAAATCTTTATTGATCATTTACCATAACCAAAGAATAAGACTAGGCACAGTGAAAAAGCAAAGATGAGTGAGAGAGCAGCTAATATATATTAATGGCATGAAAATTGCCAGGCTTAATTCTAAGTGTTTTGTAAATATCAACCCACTAAATCCCCACAATAAAGTATGAGGGTTGGAGACTCACCTTATAGATGAGGAATTTAGGCACGAGGGCTAAGCAATTTGCTCAAAGTCACATGCAAACAAATGTTAGGTTCAAAACTGGGATGTCTAGCTTTGGAGTTTGTGTTCTCAAGCATTACACTGCAATGTGACTTTTGTTTTCCTTAGCTCTCAATTCAATAGAAACAAAGAAAAATAGACAATAATTTTGAAATAGTAAAAGTTCTCTAATAGAGTACCTTTGAAGCCCTACAGATGCACTGAGGATGAATTAGTCATGCTAGGACTGGTAGGACACCAGCATTTCAATGAAGATACAACATCTAAGTTTATACATATATAAGGTTCCTGACTTGCTTTTCTGAAAATTCTTATGTGGAACTTAGAAAAATCATTAAGAAAATATATTTATTTGGCTAAAATGTCTTCCCACAAAGAGATCCAGTGATTGACACAAAAAGTAAGAATCTTATTAATAACATTATCATGCTTCAGTATCTTTTAGTTTTCTTCAATTATTATATCCCATCTCCTCCTCCAGCAGCATCAGGTGCCATACATGTATCAGGAAACCATCCTTCTTGAAAAGTCAACTTTAAATTTTACAAAACCTTTAAATTACACCAATGAAAATCTGCCCTTCTGGCTTCATTTAAAAATTACTCCATGACCTTTACTTTTTTCCACTAAATAAAATAACATGAAATAAATACCTACTTAATAAATAAAATGACTTTTCATATGCATAAAGTGTTCAGTGAAACCCTCATCTGTTAGGTAACCTAAACATGCATGGTTTCCTAAACTACACTTCCTATGACATGATTTTCCTGCCCTTCACCAATATTGTGTTGGCAATTGATAAAGTGGGAAAAAAAGCACTGGATTCGCGAAGACAAGGGACCCTGTTTCCATTCTAGAGCTCGGCTTTCACTTCATTAAGGATTTCACTGAAATCTTGATGCATATGAAAAATCATTTTATTTATTAGTTAGATATTTGTTCTGTATTCTTATTTAATGGAAAAATGAAAGGAAAGGCAGTCATATTGAAATGATGTCAGAAGGGCAGATTTTGACTTGGTCTAATGTTAATGTTTTGTAGAAATTCAAGTTGACTCATCAAGAAGGATGGCTTCCTGATAGAATGATGCTGTATGATGCTGCTGGGGGAGGTGTTGGGATTTAATTGGGAGACTCCATCACTAAGAAAAACATTAAGTGTACAAGTTCTAAGGTTTCCAGGGTTCTAAAAAACAATAATTACTAACATGTCATATTATATTTTCTTTTATTCCAAAGAATAAAGAGATGAAAGGTTAAAACATCCACACAAAGTTTAACATGTTATTTGAAGCAACATGAATAATACAAAGTTTATTATAATTATGAATATGTCATCTTAGGAGTCTCTGTTGTCCCAAGTAGAAAAATAAATATCAAAGCTCTCCTTTCTCCAAAGTAGACAATAATTTATCTCTGAGCTTGTCTTTGAAATATTTTTCCTTCATATTTTGAAAAGTTTAAAAGTTGAAAAACTTTACTCATTTTTTTTTCCCTCAGAAAACACTTTATTTTTGGTATGAGAGGCAAAAACTTCACTGACCACTCATGTTATACTACCAGAGAATATACTTTCTAAATCCCTAATATCTGGAATTTTAATTAAAGGTGCTAATTTTAAAAAACAAAAACATAAACTATTTGTAGACCTCTTTTTTTTCCCCATGAATACTACGTCTTTTTTCCAAACATAAACGCATTTCAGATTCACTGTTTTGTTCTAAGACATAAAATACCCGAAGGAAACCAAAAAGAAAATTGTATACCTACCTCGTGGTATTTTTTAGTAACTTTGCTTGGGACACATTGACATTCATTGCAATTGTGGAGACAACAGGCACAGTTCCCACCACAGCGTTTAACCAGGAGACAACCTGGCCAGAAAATGGTATCGGTTCTCTTTAGTTCTTCCCTTATGGACACTGAGAAGTTACGAGGTGTGCAGCTGTATAATCTTACCTCCTCTGTTAGAAGGTTCAGATCCACCACTATATGGTATAAAAGAAAGCAAAGAAAAATAGATGTTGATGCTTTGAGCCTGAATGTATTTCATTAAGCTCTTTTCATAAAGAAATCTTACGTTATTTCATGAACAATATCCATAACAATATCCGCTCTTATTGTAAGTAGATTTTAGAGATATACAACTACAAATTGGACCTTCTAGTTCATAGCAAACAAAGCTTCATTATGACTTAGCGACCAGTAAAGAGATGCCATTGTGTAATATTAAGAACAGAGCCAACAAAACAGTTGAAAGCTATAAATAGGAAACTTTATACAGACAAAAAAGGCCACACGTTTTAACCTTAGTAAAAAAAAAAAAAATAGACATGGAGAACACAGGAGAGAAGAATAAAATGCAAGATGATGAATGCTTTGATTAAAAAACAAGTATAATTCTTAAAAGGATTTTAGGCTCATACAATTAGTGAAGAACAATTTATTGAAATGTGTCAACAGCTCTTTCTATAATCTCTATGGCAATAACCATCATAAAATATAAAAAAAGCATGAAGAGAACGCACATTTGAAGACAGCTGTGTAGACCATGAGTGAAAAAAAATGACATACTTTATAAGAGCAGAAGTTGTTGGAAGGCAATGCTTCAAATGCATTGAATGATTTCCCATCTTGGAAATTCAGACTAACTAAACTAAACTCCTTCAGATACCTATCCTTCCCCTGCTAATGGGTGGAAGAAATGTTTAATTTATCTAATTTATAACCCCAGCCTCTACTCCTTTAGCAAGTTGGTTAACTATGCTGTTTGTGCTTTATTCTATGAAGAATACCTACTTTTGAGGACCTAACAAAATATTCTTTATTGCAGTAAATCCTCAAAGAACCATTGTTTTTAACTACAAAATGATTCTGCCTCAGGAAAATTATATCGAAATAACATGCCATGTTCAATGTGAATTTATACATATCACATGAATAGTAGGTAATTACTATTAGGATAAAGACTTCTAATATAATTTATTTTCTGCCTTACATCTCTGCCTATTTTTTTCCCCTAGAAATATTCAAATAAAGCAATTCCAATGAGATTGAATACTTTCAGATAACATATATGCCTTCAGGGTTTTTTTCTCCTAATAAAGTTTTTTAAAAATTTAGAAATATTATCTAAAATATAATAAACCTACTTAAATACCTTTCCACTAATATGGATAACACAGACATGAATGAAAAAAAAGAAAGCTATTTTCTGGTTAAAGATGGCTTCAAGTAGAAATAATCACGATGTAATCCAATTTTTTAAATTAAAAGCTAAGTTTTATTAATTTTTAAGTGACAAGGTAAGAATCAAATGCTTATTTTCTTGGATTTGTTATACATGTGATCAGGTGTTTTTAATACTTATATTGTCTTAATTGTCTTTGATAATTTAAGTATTTTAAGAAACGTATTATAAAATTATGCATAGGTAATTGTAAATTAGAAATGTATGTAAACTATATGATAGACTAAAACCTGAGTCAAGTATAGGAAAGCACCAAAGAAATCCCAATTCAATGAGTCCATTTCAACACCTTATTCAGCTAAAAAATTATTTTTCTAACTCAAGGGAAAGTCATTGTTTCATTTGGCTACTGAAAGATTTCTTTTTAATCTGAAAATGATCCTGTGAAGGCAAAGCTTTTAAATATTTAAAGCAAATCCTTCTTTCAAATGCTCTGAATAGGCCAACTTATCCCTAATAAAAGTAATGAGCTCATTATGCTAAATGGTATCACATATTTTACCTGGTTTCATTTTGCTGATCTAATAGTATATGCATACATTCCTCTTTAATTGTTAAAACTATATATGAGCTTATTTGAAGCTTTTCTCTAGTATTTAATGCCTGGGCAAGGAGGAAGAAGACTTAAAATATGCACAAACACAAAATCTGGTTGCCAAAGTCTTCAATGCTTATTTAAGAATTATACTTCTTTAGAATGTGAGTGAAGAAGCTCTCAGCTCTCAAAGCATATTCACCTATGTCAAGTAGTTTTAAATATGCTATTTCATGATAATAGAAAATGAGATTGTATACGTTTCCTTTAAAATGTTTACTTAACCACAATAAAAGGTTAGACAGATTTCCCAAGTGAACTTAGTTGTGATACCTGCTACAATGTGAAAATTTAAACACACTTTTAACTTAGCTTCCACTCATTTATCATGTTTGACACAAAAGTCAAAAGCCCTTTTTACGTACTAGTTAAGCTTGACTTAGAAAATACAGTATTTTTTTGTAGCAGTAGCAAGGTATGAATGAAAACCCTGAACTAGAGGAAGAAAGTGAAAGAAAAAAAAGTAAAGCATTTATGCAGTCCACAGTTTTCTAAAAATATAACTAAGGATTTTAAATTTGGCATTTCATTTTGAAATTTATGCTGCCTACTGCTAAGGCTTCAAACGCATATAAGCTTCATTAAGTTAAGTCATATGTCATACATTCTTGAAACATTGTATAGTACTTTTGGGGGGGGAAGGCAAATAAAGAGAAAAAGGAAAAGAAGAAAGAAAGATAATGTACCAAAGGATACTTTTTGAATAGCTTAACTATAATAATATTAAAGAAGTTTCCCTCTGCCAAATATTTGTAAAAGTTGGTCTTCAGATTTTTTTCCTTTTCATAATTATCTCCTAAGAAAACAAATACAGGTATTAGTTTGTTTTTCTAAAGAATGCAGATTTTGAGCACATCACCAACCAAAATCATTATTTTTAAATGCAAATGTCATTAATATTATACGTTTTGCTACAAAAAACAGTAATATTTTTCTTTGTTAGTTGTTCATTCTTTTAAGATATTCAGTCCAAAGATAGTCTATTACTGTAATGTAATCTGAGGGTGGTCTTTCTAAGATGAATGTGGTAACACTGTGATGTTTATTCTGTGGGAAATCTATTTCAATGTCTAATTAGAAGCTTTTAAAAGTTTGACTCCTTATTCCTTTGTAGAGATACTCTCAGGAGGGGAGTTGGTTTTGTCTATATAGATGTTATCCTACACTTGTATTTTAGTTTATGTAAAGTTCCAAAAATGTACACTGCTTTTCTCACACTTTTTGCATGCTTAAAAAGTTAATAAATTTGGAAAACTGCAAAGGGCTTCAATTTTGAAAGTGTTAAATGAATATCTGAAAGATCTGTTCAGCTTCCGATGCTTTTGAATGCAGGCTAGCCTCTGGCCAAATCTTTGAGCACCAGGCGTACATTTTCAGGCATAAAGCCTTGGCTAGAAGGGAGGTTTTTAGGCTCAAATCCAGAAATCAGCTGTCAAAAAACTAGATCTCAGTTTAGAACCTGATTCACTGCCCCTGCTTCTTACAGATCAACATGATAATCAACTTCAAATTTGCTAACAAGGGCTCTATTCATGGATATTTCAGCTAGTCTTGCAGATCTTCATCTTCCTGTTCCTAAGTGGGAGGGAAGGGAAGTGTTGCTCGTAAGTTATTCATCAAGTTATTCATCAAGATCAAATCTTATAAATATGTAACAGCTTTCAGCATCTGGACAGGACTCAACTGCCCAGGCACTTGAACACTGATTTCAAATATTGCCAAAAGGAAACCACGTCTGTTGGCATAGTGAAATACCAGGGCTGGGCAAGTCTGAACATGACCTGCTGAGATTAAAGCTCATGATCCAAAAAAGCTGCAACTCTTAGAGCAGGAAAGGGCAGGAATCGGGTTTCCTTCTGACAAGGTTTAGAAGAGCAAGTCTGGTGCAATCTGCCCTTGTGAATGGCTCAAATTAACCGAACATTATTCCTTTCATATAAATTCTCTAGGCTGTCACTGCATTCTCCAAAGCAGTCGATTTCACTGTTTCTGACAGACTAAAACAGATATTTTGAGTGCATTGTAATTAAACAGTTATTTCTATACGTTTTCATTTGTGTCTGCTATGGATGCTTTCCAATTCCAATGTTACTAAAAAAATTAGGTAATTTTATAGAAAACTCAGTTAAGATTATTTCCAATTTCTTGGCCATGCAGAATTAGGTTTAATTAACATCACTTTCACTCTTAGAGAAAGATACACCCATATGGGCAAAAGTGATTATTTCAACAGCAAATTTATATAGTTAAAAATTATTATGGTGTGGGTTCTTTTAGGTTCTTGTTTTCTTGCTATGAATCCTGCCTTGAAAACTATGAATTCTATTTTATGTTGGGTCGTTGCCATTTTTCATAGTTCTTAGAATTGTCTAGGCTTAGAAAATGCAAAGTCATATAATACTGACCCATGGGAGATACTGTAGACAAACATTTTTGTAGAGGATCCCCTTTTTCTATCCCTAACCTGGTTTTGCAGCTATGATAATTTCTTTTGAGTCCCAAAATCAACATATTCCAAGTATTAGGTTTGAGTAAGCAGTGATTTTTGTAAAATGCAATGAAGGACTTCATCAAAATGATATTTTTGAAGATAATATATAACTGGAATTTTCAGAAGTATCCCCCTTTCAATTTTCCACACCCACTGGGTTATAACTAAGTTCCTCCTTTTGTATATATTATTATTCAATATATAAATATGCTCAAATGATAAGAAAATGTATTGAATATATCACTGATGAATTTTAAACTCTACCCTTTAGAAGCTGTGGCAGAAGAATCTGAAACATTAGCTGTTAAGAAAATTAAATGAGGTTCTAATCTGAAGAGGGAGCTTACCTCTGGATTTTCTTCCAAAAACAAAAGCCTTGCCAAGAAGTTGCCAAGTTGGCCTATATAGATCTTCTAAGTCCAACTGCCATCTCTCTGGTTCAAGATATCGAATAAGGTCTTCCAAGGTACTAAAGGCAGTTATAGCATTATTAAGCAGGTCCAGTGGCAAAGCTGAAGGGGGTAGCACTGAAGGACTCACAGCTTCTGTGAATTGCTGAAAGTAAAATGAATCCTGTGTTAACTGTTTTAAAAACGACAATGTATTCCTTCTGGACATATGCAAGAAATTATAAAGACTGAGGCTGGAAATATGTGTGAAGGGAAATTGTATTGAATCCAATTAGAAATAACTACTCTGCAAAGACTTCATGAAGATGAACTCTGATAGATTTCCTGTAAAATCAATGAGAAAGACATTAATTTTCATTACCACCAACCGTGAGGGATATGGATATCTTTTGGTCATATAAAAGAATTAAAAATATCTTCATGGTTCAATTACAAACTTAGAATGAAAACTATAATACAGTTTACCAAATTTTCCTTTTCTTTTCCACTTTTCATTTTCCTTAATCTGAAAAATTACCTGGTAGTTATGCAAATTAGTGTCACATAAATTAAAAATGGAATAAGAAATAATTAACCCAAAAGATCTAGAACAAAATAGTTAGAAATCATTTGACATTAAAGAACTTATTAATCAAGATAGAAAATATCTAAATCATAAAAGATCAGCTTAATAAATTGCCTACAATATATTTTTAATATAAAATGCCTAATAAACAAGATTAAGAGATCGGAGGGACACTGGAGAACACACTGACAAACTATGTGACTGTCATAAGATTAGTATCCAGAATATACAAAAATAAAGACAAATGCAATGGAAGAAAAATGGGCATATTACAGATAAAAAGCTTGAATGGTCAATAAACATATGAAAATATGCTGAACTTCATTATCAGAGAAATCCAAAGAGAGATATTATTTCACATACGAAAAAAGGATACTTTTTCACACAGATGAGATGGGCAAGAATTTTAAAAAGGATTACTGAGGATGTGATTAAATTGGAACTCCTCTGCTCTGCCTGCAGAAGTTAGTGTACGTAGGCACAACACTTTAGCTGATGTAACTGATAAGCACTGAATATTCTTTCACTTATGCACATGGAAATATGTTCAATGATTAGAAAGACTGGAAGCAATCTAAATGCCCACATATAGGAAAACACTAACACATCGGCTCTTCCTTTTCATTCTCATTACTTCCATCCTGGGCTCCATACTAAAAACATGTACTATAAATAGCAGCTTCTAACCTTATCTCCTTACCTTTAATCATTTTTCTCTCCTTTTGTTCTATGCTGCATAATCCTGGGTTAATCTACTAAATAAGATATTACTGATCCTATGATGAATTTGGACAAATGCCTATGTGATTTCTCATCTGGAGGATAAAATCCAAATTCCTTACACAGCATTCAGAGCCCTCAAAAACTGACCTCTGCTCACCTTCCACTCTAATCTGCTACTCATCAGAGACATGCATATTTTGTTCCAATCAGTCTAGTCTCTTCACTGACTACTGCACATATAATATCATCTCAGACTTTGTAACTTATGCTAAATCTGTCCCCATACCTGACATGCAAAAACTCTCCCCCCGTTGATCCACATCATAAATCTTTACCATTACAATGACCTTTTCAAAAATCCAATTCATCCATGAAACCTGGCACAACAGGGTCATCACTGTCCCACAGCCCTCTGTGGGCTGCTCTGTGAGCACTTGGCTTGAAGAGCAGAAGCTGCCCAGTAAACTAGGAAAAGGAGCACCTTTCCTCTGGACAGGCACAACCCTCGTGGGGCTCCTGGCTTTGTGGGTGTCCCGCTGCCCACAGGGGAACATTCTTACAGGGTATAATCGGCAGAAATGAACGTGGCAGCCTTGGGCCAACAATGATTTCATCCTTTTTTTTTTTTTTTTTTTAACAAAAGTTTATTGAGTAACTACAGTGTTCCAGGGCCTGTGTGTGCATTATGAGAAAAGCACAGTGGAATGACAATGTCTGGCCTCCTTCCTTGCCTGGATTACTCACATGTACTTTCCAAGTCTCCACTCAGCTGTTACTCCTTTCATCTTTTTGTTTTTTAAATAAGTTTTATTTTGTATATCTGAGGTTTATGACATGATGTTACAGAATAAACAAAGATACGCAAAGATACATGGAAAATGTGTAAGTACATATATATACAGTACAATGGTTACTATTAAAGACTTAATTTCAATAATGTCAAGGATCTGGCTAAAATATTAGGACTAAGATATTTTCTAATTATTTTATGATATTTTTGCTCTACCCATTAGTCTGTTAAACTTTGAGAGTTTATTACCCTAATATGTTTTTATTACCCAGTGTTTTCTATAATTGTCCAAGGAACACAAAATTGCTTTGACAGAACTATGACTGAAAACTCTATTATAGATATAAACATTGATCTAAAAACGGTTTTAATTTTAATTTAGCTAATTAAGCTACTATTGATTAAATTTATGGTGTAAAAAGTTAACGCAAATTTTTGCATATTTCAAAAATATAAGCCTATATATGTATACAAATGTTTTATAAAGTAAAAATTAAGGGGTCAATAATAGTCAAAGAATCAGTATTATTACAAATGGAAAGTTTCAAAATCTGTACAGATAAAATAAGTGGTTGCTAGCAAGTTAATACAAAAAGTATACATTATTTATTAAATTGTCAGGGTGCAGATGTATATTTTAAGCATAAAATATAATTGCTATGTAGGGTAATTTCAATTAGACTGTAATCCAAGAATGATTTGGCTTATTTTGCTTCCAGTCTGTTGGAGACTCTCTGAATAAAGCATTTCTTTTGAAGCAATACAAAGTTCTAACTGAAATTAATATTGCTGAGATGCAGTCCAAAATATTAACACAAAAGAAGGCAAAACAAGATAAGCCTGTAATAATGGGCAAACAAAAGATGCACACCTTAGGTCCAGTGAAGTATCTGCAATCTGCATACCCATCCCTTCAAATGTGAAAGGTTGGGAGAAAAGCATCTTCTGTTACTGTATGTATAGATCAGTTGGTGTTACAAATCTCTAAGCTTCTAAATATTTAAATTAAAATTTGATAAATTTAGAAAGACAACTCTTTCCCCACCACACCCCACACACAGTGGTCCCCACCCAGAAAACAGGAAAGAAGAATGAACATAAGTTCCCAGGATTCAAAGAATCAATCCCTGGACAGAACAGGGGAAGTGGTGCTTCTATTTAAGGGCCTTCTCATGACTGTCCCTCCACCCACTGGTTCAAGAAAGAGCCGAGTTGTTCAGTTTCAAAGTTCTGCTTTTCTAAGTTGTTTAAAGGGACTCTCAGAGAGAAAGGGGGGAGCAATGAAAAAAAGAAGTTACAGAAAAAAAAATGTCTTTGAATTTTTAAGTTTTACTTTTCTCTCTAACAAAGTAACACTGTTCATTACAGACTAATAGCATTTTCTCCCATAATTAGTATCTAGAAAATTCTAACAATACTTTTGATATTTAAAAACACTTATGATTGGGCTGTTAAACTGGTTAGAATATGCAAAATACGCCTTGACTTGGATTTTCACATTTCCTGTTTATGTCTTTTATTCTTCATAAAAATATGATGGTGTACTTTTAAGCTATAGGTTGTGCTAAGACAATTTAGTGGATAGCAATGGACACAAACCGGAAGCAGAGTTTCTTGGTGTTCTGCAATGTAGACAACTAAACCAAAACCCTTATTCAGCCAGAGAAAAGCTTCTGTGTTATCACCTGCAGGGCAGTAATGACAAGCTTGGTGAGGGTGTGGCCCTAGCCTAGACCCTTTTAGGCCTATTACTTTGTAAGGACAGGTTGTCAAAGAGCAGAAAAGCATCTACAATCTATGTGATGAAGTGTCCTGCCAAAGAGTACATTTCTAAGATGTCAGCTCCATGAGATAAGGATCCTATGCAAAATCGGGTCTTTAAAATTCTCTGATGAAAGTTACTCTGAATGACAACATGATAATGAGAGAACTACGATCAGGAGTTAAGGAACTGGACTCTAAATCCCAGAGATACTCACATGTAGGGAAGAGAGTTTGACTAAACTGCATAATCAATCTGTGCCTCAGTTTCCTCCACTACAAAATATGGTAGCTATATTCAATGACCTTCAAGTTTCTTGCCAGCTTTTACATGTAAAAATTCTACTTAATTATCAGATACAAGAGGGTCCAATACAGCTTCAGCAAAATTATCTTGAGAGCTTCAAAAATATAATAAACAACTTAGTAAGTCTATAATGGGACTGAACTCTATTTTTTTTTTCTTTTAACTCTCCTTGTTGTTTTAGCAGATGAGTGAGTTTTGGGAAACACTGCCCTGTGGTACAACTGTGGGATAATTCTACATTTACATATATATATAAAATTTTGAGAGTACATGAAGTTTACCCTGCTCTTTAAGACATCAAATATCCTAGAAAGGCATGTCTGGCTTATAAATAGAAGCAGTATGGTCCTAAAAATCTGAAGGAAACAAGTCCGTGCTTAGAAAACTGATACCAAAAATGTTTAAATGAATATAGACACACGTTGTATTATGGGCTGAATTAGAGTTCACTCAAAATTTCTATTCTACTAAAGTCCTACTCACAGTATCTCAGAATGCCTGTATTTGGAGACAGGGTCTTTAAAGAGATCAGTAAAATAAGGTAACTAGGGTGGACCCTAATCTAACATGATTGGTGTTCTTATAGTAAGAGAACATTTTAACATAGACATAGTAGAGAGGGAAGACCATCTGAAGACACAGGAAGAAAATGAACATCTACAAGTATAGGAGAGAGGTGTCAGAAGAAACCAAACCTACTGACACCCTGATCTCAATTTCTAGCAACCAAAATTTTGAGAAAACAAGTTTCCATTGTTTAAGGCACCACTGTTTAAGTCTGTGGTATTTTGTTAAGGCAGCCCTAGAATGCTAATACATGCCATCAACTTCTCCACTTAACTATTATAGGAGCAAACAAAGGATAATATTACACCATGTCTGTTCAATCATTCAACAAGCATTTATTTAAAAACCTGTAAGGGCTCACACAGGTGCAGTGGCTCACACCTGTAATCCCAGCACTTCCCGAAGCCAAGGCGGGTGGATCACTTGAGGTTTAGAAGTTCAAGACCAGCCTGGCCAACATAGTGAAACCCCATCTCTACTAAAAATACAAAAAATTAGCCAGGCATGTTGGCCACGCTTATAATCCCAGCTACTTGGGAGGCTGAGGGACAAGAATCACTTGAACCCAGGAGGCGGAGGTTGCAATGAGCCAAGACTGGGCCATGGCACTCCAGCCTGGGTGATAAAGTGAGACTCTGCCTCAAAAAATAAAAAATAAAAAAATAAAAAATAAGGCAAATGAACAAAAGTAAAAACCTGTGAGGTGAGCACTATTAACAAAACAAGAGAAAATGCTTGCCTTTGTGAGAAGCCAAGTATACTGCATCATAGAAGAGAGTTTTCTCTTGCCAAAACGAGAATCTGCTATTATGAATCACACAAGTAACCAAACAAGTATCACACAAATCCTGGTGAATGTGGACCAGAAAAAAAGTGAACTTAGTATGTAAGAATTACTGAAAAACAAATATATTTCTATTTTTATTAATGAAAAATAACTGGCAGCCCAGGAGTTCAGACAAAATCATAGCCATAGGAACAAGCTCAAGACAGCAAGTTTGGCTGCAAAAGTTAAGTTTTCTTATTGACTTTTCCACTGTTCTTTTCAAAAATCAGTGTTTTACTGTTTTGTATTTTATTATGGCTACCTTAAATATTTTCTGCACTTGTTAACATCTTTCCCCTTTTTTAGAAAAAAGAAAAGCTGACTTCCTGTTTGGAATAGTACTATCTGAACTACTTATAATTTCACAATCAGTCATTACTTACCTCTAAAAAACCATAGCTTGTCATTTTATTAGGATTTTTGTGGCCAGTGCAATTTTAAAAACACACTTAAAATGAATCTTCCTTGGACAAATACACACATATAAATGTTTACCTTGAGTAGCATAGCAACTGTTGCAAAACTATTAGGGCCTACAAAGATTTATGTTGCAACTTTCCCAGTCAACTGCATATAGTACACTTCAAACTGATAAAGTTTTCAATTCATTCATACCTAACAAAAGGTTAGGAATGCAGATTAGGTTTTATTGTCGGAGTTAAAAATAAAACAATATTATAAAATGATCAGGTGTTTAAGAGAAGACAATAAATGTCCAGCCTTGGGTAACATCACTTCTTAAAGGTGTCTCCAATCTCATTTATGTAATGTCAAACTGATATATTGTACAGAGGTCTTACTTTTAAAGAGCCTAAGCAGCAGACAGGGCATGCAGACACAAATGCCTGCCAGGAACAACTCACGGGAGGTTCTGTAAAGACACAAGAATGTCCTGAAACAATTCATTTAAACACGCTTCTTTGCCTTTCCCTATGTTCTTATCCGAATTCATTCAAAAAGTTATCTGGGTCATGTTTTTAAATTATTTTTAAGCCGGCAATGAAAAGCAAATGCTTGCATTCCTACTCAAGAACAGATGTTTTAATATGGTGTGAGTAATGCAGATTATATATTTAAGTGAGAAATCCTAGGGAAGGTGGCCAATTATATTCACATCAAGGCTTAAAATTGAGGGGTTCTTATTCAAAGAGCATGACAATTGAATAAAACTTGACATATCTATATAACCCATCACAGCAACAGTCCAGTATGAAAAGCGTATGAGCCAGCATTTAAAAGCAATACATTTTAAGGCTCAAACCTGCAACTGGCCTTCAAAGGCCATGAGTTTCATGGTTTCAGAAAAACCCCGGAGAGCAGAAGTCTTCCTGAGAAGAATGGATATATGAAAAAAGAGATGGCTAATTTTGCCCAAAGTGTTGTCTTAAATAAAAGTAATGTTTATTTACTAAGTAGACCTTCTTACCAACTTGATAGATGAAACAACTGCTACGGACTCACTTTTCCCGTCATCATGAAACTGGAGAACCATTACTATCTAACCAGATTTACAAACTAAAACACTGTTACTCTCAACACCTTCTCACCTAAAGCACTGGTGGTCTACAAACTAAAGAAAAAAATTCACCCTAGTGCAAGCACTTTAGATTTGAAGGTCTCCACAGAAGTCAACTCCACCACAGAGCAGGCTCATTGTTGGCTGGTGAGTCAGAGTCAATACACAGTTTCCCACTTCCTAGGTCAAACTGCGGGTTATAAGTAATAATCAATGTGGAAAACTAGAATTCCATGGGATGACTAAATAACATAGTACTAAGAATGCTTTCCACAATGGCATCTGTGGGAAGCCAAAATTAAGGTTTTTTTTTTTTTTTTTTTTTACTAAAATTTGAAAAACAATTCCTCTGAATAAACAATGTGACAGGCCTTAAAAGCTAAAATAACGTCTATCAGTGGCAAGTGTTTGACAACAAAGTATCGCAGGAATTTTTTTCCTAATCTTATATTGAATACTTGTGGATTTGCTTTGTTATAATACTCAAGATAACGCCTAACAGTGATGAACTTCCAATGAAAGAAAATGTAAACTAAGAACTATTGGAAGAAAAACACACCTTCACTGCAAAACATGAAAGAATATATACCTCAAACCCAAAATCTTTGAAGACACTTTCTTACAGAAATTTATCCTACAGTACAATATTTATTCAATGTATCACTCAACCACCATTAAGGGAAATCGTGGAATGTTTTGTGGAAATCTAGCTCAGGAATAGTGGCTATATTGGTAGACATTGTCAATTATATGTTCAATAAGTTAAATAGTTGGATAATACACTCAACTTCATTCTAGCTTTGTATGTGCCTTGAGTGGAAGGCCTTACTTTGGAGTAAGAAATAAGGGTACAGAGTTATTTACTTTAAAATGTCTTGACAGTATAAAAAGAGTGTTAAGTAGCTGAAACTGAGAGGGCAACAGAAAAATCCCCCAGTGAACTGCTTTGAGGGGAAAAATGAGCTAATTCAGGGGAAGCCATTAGAATGTATGCAAAGGTCAGCAATGACCCCCCCACATGGCTGAATCCAATGGTCTGTTTTTTCAGTCTTACTAACTGACCAATCAGTGTGTGAAAGTGGCTTTTCACACACTGTGCTCTGCAGATTTTCTTTTACCTAACAAGATGCTTCTCCTTAGCTCTGAGTGCTGGTTCCTCCTTATCACCTTCTTTTTACATGCTGGAGTGTCCCAAGGATCTCTGCTTGGACCTTTTCTAGTTTCTGTCTACATGCTTCCCCTTGGTGATCTTCTATAGTTTCAAAGCATTGCATATCATTTATACGCGGACTACCAGAAAATTCCTATTTCTTATCAACACATTATTACCATTTCAGTAAATGCCAATTCCGTAATTTGCAGTCGTACTTTGCTCCTCTCTTTTCTGTGCTACACTCCATATCCCACATCAAGTTATCTTGGCTCAATCTTCATACTATGTCTGGAATCTGACCATTTTCCCTACTTCCATTGCTGCCACTTTACAATTCAGGCCAACATGTGAAACAGTCTTCTAACTGGTCTCCCTGTTAAACAATGCCTTTGCCATTGTTGTCTGAATTAAATAACAGAAATTTACACATTCTACAACAAATGGTCAATAGAGTATTAGTAAAAATACCAATTACTTTTCTAGAAAAATATCCTGCTTTTAAATTTCAAACTTAAAAAATGGCCTTTATTTTAAACATTCTATAGATTATTCACAGTGGAACTCAATGGAAGGGCTTTGTACAGATTTCACAAGCCTCGGTTAATGCAGTATGCCTCCTGCAACCTGCCATTCATCCCTCCCAGGTACATTTTATCCTGTCAGAAGGCACTCACTAACTCTCCTACTGCTGACAATGCAAACAGTACTCTCTTCTTCAGGGTAGGGGAGGCATACCTACCAGCCATAGAAAATGGGGCGTTTGTCAAAATTACATGGTGAACACCTCATTTATGTGTGTGTCTGTAGGAACAGGTATTCAAAGGAGGGATGATTCCACCTACCTAGGAAAACTGGTATAAGGATTAAGCAAAATAGCATATTTTAAAAATTTAATAAACAATTCAGCACTATACATATTTAGGGATTATCATACACATTTTTATTATATATTTAATTACCCAAGTTGTACCAAGTTTAGCAAAGATAAATAATTATTTTAAAAAATATAGCTCATGATTGATGTTGGTCTGTGTTACATGGAGTGGCATGACCTCATTAGGCAGCGTTCAATGACATCTCCACCCAACATTCTTTCTAGACTGATGTGGCAAATCAGAGCTTGTCCAACCCTACAAGGAAAATTCTGAAACAGACTTCTTTCTCTTCTAAAACAGATTTATATTCAGTAGTTGTTCTGGAGGGAGAAATGGGCATTACACATCAGCAAATTAATCTTTATGGCTACGAATACCTCTGTGCTAAAGAACTTAAAAAATAAGCATAATGATACCCTTGGCTGCTCACTTATCCTATGTCGGTTTTCTGAATTCATATTCTTTGCCTATAAAATCTTTATATGAAATGAAACCAACAAAAAATCCTATGCAAAATGCAGGATTTCAACTCTGAGGCCCACCATGTCACTGGTATCTTAATTACAGTGTACGGTGTTACATTAAAAGAAACTTCTGTAAAGTAACTAGTTAGCATGCCGTTCCTATTTCAACAATGGAGAAAAATATAAATGATAATTATTTTGTGAAGTGTTTGGGCATTTTTTTTACATTTTTAAATCACTCTGTGACATCCCTATTCTGCCATAAAATCTTTAGTACTCATGCACAGATCTGAACACTTTCAAAAAATAAAAGCATAAACAGTTATATGTTCTTTGGTCATGTTTTTACATGTCGGTCACCACACTAAAATGAGATTGTGTCTCACGGTCAGAATTCTGGGCAGGTCAAAACGATCACCAGGGGCAACAGAGAACATAGAATATTTTTGTGAAAAGTTGGTACGGTCACCTCAAACACACCTGAAAAGGCTTCTTCTATTGATACAAGCAAGATATGGCTCTGAAAACAGGGTTAGATAAAAAGTTAAATCATTCAGTAGACTATATTATACTCCTGTCACGTGCTCACAACAAATGAAGAATATGAATAATATAGCCATTGTGAGGTTCGTATCTCTTGATGGAAAAACCTGTGTCCTTTAGGTAATGACTATAACGGAAGTAAAAACCCAAGTGCTGTGAGTGTGATTAATTCTGCCTAGAGAATTAAGGAGGTGATACAAAGAAGAGATCAAAGTTAATCTAGAGCTTAGAGAATTAGAAAGTAATTATTATATAGATTAGAAGGGAGAAGCACTTTAGATATTTACAAAGAAACTGAGTTGGAAAAAAATGGTGTTGGGTGAAGAAAAAGATGAAGACTGTGACAAAGCATTGCTATTAGGGGGAGAGTAGATGGTGGAAGGTGAGGCTGCAGGAATGAATTGGGGTCTGATTGGGAAGGCTTTGTGTGTGCCATGCTATGGAATCTGGATTTAATCACAAAGCAGTACAAGAGTCAAAAGAGATGTTAAGGAAGGTGGGATACATACAAGTTTAATTTTTCTGGCTTTCTACTTCTATTTTAGGTGAGGAGGTGCCTTGGGTTGGGAGAAGGGGGTGTGCAGACTCTGGTGGGAGCCATGAACAAGGCTTTGGCATCTGAACCTTTGCTCCTGATGTTGCCCTTTGTTAATAATAACTGCTTTTATTGCCTTGTCACATGGCTAATCACTACCCACTAATAAAGACTCAGCTTCTCCAGGAGGCTTCCACTAGTGAGACCTCTCTCTATATATACACGACTACCTCTAAGCTGGTCGACCTTTGTGATCCACCATTCTGTTCATATGTCTAGCACTACATCAAATTGAAATTGTTGTACGTGTCCCTCCTACTTGCCTCGAAGTTCTTTCATGGTGGGGCCAAATCTTGATGTCTTTTGGATATTTTGATCTCCAATAGTATTCAGGATCTGACAGAATATTAATGAAGTGCTAAAAAGAGTATGCTTTATGATCTGATTGATTACCACCATTGAGGAAAACAAATGAAAAGAAGGGTGGCAAAGTACATGACCATGGTAGAACCAACAGGATTGGTAGCTGGTGGGATGGGGAATCAGGGAGAGAAGAGATATGCTTAATTTTAAATGATTCTAGCTTCAGGGAATGCATTAACAGTGACATAACTATGTAATACAGGCAAAATTGGTAAGAAAGAAGGAAAAGTTCAGGTTGGGTCAATTTATAATAAGTGGAGGTGTATTGACACGCATATATCCAGCAGACAACTGCAAACATTTTTGTGGCATTAAATATAGAGGACTCACTTGGAATAGAGAAAGATAATCATTAACATATACAAATGTCAAATGTTAAAGCCATGAGCTAAGAGCACACATGAAAAGAAAAGAGGATAGAAGACAGGAAAATGGGATTTCCCCATACTTAGACCAATGGCCAAGGCACTGGATCAACCAGCACTGGTGTCTCAAAATAGATCAATCTAAGGGTCGGGAAGAGAGCCTGGAGGTCTTAGTGATTTTTCCTCCCAAGGAGAAGAGAGTTTTGAGGAGTAGAAGAGGGAGAATAACATCAAAGTAATGGAAAGATCAACAAGAAAGAGGAGTAAAAGTAGGCCACTGTAGCTATTCCACAGGTGGTGTTCTGTGACCTTAGGAATAGAGAAGTTTCATCGAAGTAAGAAAGGAAGAAAGGGGGCCGTTAAAAAGCAGTGAAATGGAGAAAGCAAGTAGAACTTTTTCATTAAGTTTGGCAGGGAGAAAAAAATAAGAAAGAATCATAGATTTATGAGAAGAAAGATTAGAAAAAAGCTTAATATAATAAGTACAGAAATACGTGTATATTTGCAATTAGAAAAGAAGGCCAATGAATAAAAGAAATCAGAAGACAGAGGAGAGTTAATGTCAATTGTAGATCAAGACGGGGCAAAAATATTTTTCTCATGAACTGTAAAGAAGACTAAAATGTCAAAGTATTTCTGTAAGACAATTCAACAATATTTTCCACAAGCAGTCTTAAAAGTGTCCATTTTTTCAGATCCTGTAATTCCATATTCAGAATTTTTATCTTAAGGAAATAATCAGAAGTATAATCCAAGGATAGTCATTGTAGCATTATTAATAGAGAAAATTAAAAATAAAATTTAAAACAAATGTTCATAATTGGAAGGCTGTTAAATAAATGATTACACTTTATGTATGTACAGTGGTCCATTTTATTCTCAATAATTTTTAGTGTACATGAGAACAATGTAGAAACTTTGATCCCTAACAGCTCAGGGATATGATTGCCACTGTGATATAAACTATAAAGCAAACAGGATGATTCACATTCTGCATAGGCAGAGACTAAGGACACCCAGGCTAAGATCTTACTGTTCTGAATTTTTTTTTGAGACGGAGTCTCACTCTGTCATTCAGGCTGGTGTGTGGAGTACAGTGGCGCAATCTTGGCTCACTGCAACCTCTGCCTCCAGGGTTCAAGGGATTCTTCTGCCTCAGGCTGCCAAGTAGCTGTGATTACAGGGGTCCGCCACCACACCTGGCTAATTTTTGCACTTTGTATTTTGTATTTTTTAAAGATGGGGTTTCACCATGTTGGCCAGGCTAGTCTCGAGCTCCTGACCTCAGGTGATCTGCCAGCCTCAGCCTCCCAAAGTGCTGGGATTACGGATGTGAGCCACTGTGCCCGGCCCTAAGTTTAATAAACTTCTAAAAGTAGATCCATCAGTTCTCAATCTGATATGCAAGGAATCTACTGGGTGCACAACAGTCTGGAAAGGGAGCAGCCAGCATCAGATAAAGGGGTGACTGAACAGCATTGTCAGTACAGGTGAGAGATGACCGACTCTTCAAAGTGTAACATTCATGCAGTTACAAAAGGTAAAATTCTATCAACTAGGATCAACTTACGGGACTATTAAAATAATGCACATTTTTTTCCATGTAGAATCTAATGTCTACATTGGGCAGGGCTAGAATACTCAGGAGGTGCAAAGTCACAGTGAGATTTAATAAAGTTCTAGGTCAGTTGATCAATATCTTCCCACAAAGTTCAAGGTCAATTGAAAAAATATCTTCCTACATTCTTTTCTTTGCCTTGTTCTTTACCCTGCCCCTCTATTCTGTATCGCTTTGCCCTAAGTGTACAATGCTCTGAAATCATCTTTATTTCCCTAAAACTTTCATTGCTTCAGCTGATTTCAGATACGGTACTGTGAAACTAATCACCATTACCCTAATCAACATAATATGATCATTCATAACCACACTAATAGGCTCTTGATTATCTATCTTGTCACCATTTATGTAATATATATTCATTTGCAATAAATACATACTGAGCAACTAATACGAGCCAGACACTCTTCTAGGTGCTGAGGATCAAGCAGTGAACAAAAGAAGTAAATATCTCTGCCTTTATGTAATACATATTCTATTGGAGAAAAACAGACCATGCACAACATAAATAATGCACATACAATGTTAGATGGTAAAGTGTATTGCAGGAAAAAAGTAAAAGCAGGAAGAAGTAAAAAGTAAAGCAGGAAGAAGACAAGAATGACAGGCAAGGCCTCTGTGAGAAGCTGACGTGCAAGCAAAACCTTAAGGAGTTGACGCTTGAAGTCGTGGGGCTATGTGAGGAAGATTATCCCATGAATATGGAATATCAGGGCAAATAATCTGTTTGGAAGTATGTTAGGTAAATTCAACTCAAGGAATGACAAGGAGGGGACGCTGTGGCTGGACCAAAGGTTGGAGATAATAGGACTACAAGGGGACACTGTAGGTCACGGTGAGGATTAGCAATTTACTCTGGGTGACTGGGGAGTAGAGCTGCCAGATAAAACAGAGGATGCCCAGTTACATTTGAATTTCAGATAAACAATAAATAATCTTTTAGTATAAGTATGGCCCCAAAATTATAAAATCATTCATTGTTTAGCTGAAATTCACATATAAAACTAGGCAATCCTGTGTTTTCATTTGTTCACTTTGGCAACTGTAGTTGGGAGCTATTGGAGAGTTTCAAGGAAATGAGTTATATCATCTGCCTTATGTTTAAAAGGATCACACTCACTGCTGTGCTGAAAATAGAATGCAGGAAGGCAATGGTAGCAACAGGGAGGCCACTTAGAAGTAGTTTCAATAATCCAAATGGAAAGATTGAGAGGTGTGTGGGTATTCAAGAGAAGATTCTAGGTTACATGGGCTAGATACATAAATTTGAGATCCAGAGGTTTATGGATATTACTAAAAGTCATGAGACTGGACAAGATTGTCAAATGAATGTTATTAGGAAGAGGTGCCATGGTTATAAAGTGATCTCTATTAAAAAGGGGACTGAATCTAGAAACATTGTCATAATTCCAGTTGAGAGAGAGAGAAGGAGGAACCAGTGAAGAGGACTGAGGAGTGGCCAGAGAGATAGGTGGAAAACAGGGAGAGAGTGCTGATCTGGATACCAGTGTCAAAGTGTTCAGTGAAAAGAAGTGAATAATCAGTTGTGTCAACCACTGATGATAGGTCTGATAAGAGGAGGATTGAGGATTTTCCACTGAATTTAGCAATACGTCATCATGGAGTACCAAGTGCGATTCTGACAAATGATGAGGCAAAAAATATGATGAGCATGAGTTTAGAAGAGAATAAAAAGAGGGCAGTGAATGCAACATAACTGTCGTGAGCAGTTGCTGAGAAGAGAGGAGACAACATGCGTGGTAGCTGGATGACGATGTGGGATCAGGAGAAGCACATATTCCTTTAAAGATGGGAGAAGTAATAGCCTTATTGATGTGCTGAGGGTAATGAACCAATAGAATGGCCAATGGAAAAAAGAAGAAGGAGGAGGAGAGAGAGAGAAGAGTGCAGGAGGCACACTTGAGTGGTCAAGAGATGAATGAGATGGAGTAAGGAAGACAAACAATGTTCGCCTAGGGTCACTGGGAGGAAAGTCAGTTGCTGAGGGCCAGTGAGACATGCAGGTAAGTAGCGTGAGGAAAGTGTTCAGAAGTCCTTTTCTGATTGCTTGTAATCTCCTTGTGACAGAGAAAAAAAATTACCATCTAAGAGTGAGGATGGGAGAAATAATGCCAGAGGCTTGAGGAGAGGGAAAATGTAAGGTAACAGTCTAGGAGAGGAGTAGAGAAGATAGACAAAGAAGATGCCGAATGTCTGGACAGTAGCACTACAGAACATATGACTCTAAAACAGGTCTAGAGAATGACAACAGCATTTCATTCATGGACAACATTCATGGTGTGGGGGCATAATTCTGTGGCTGAGTATTTCCAGAGCGTTCTTAAATCAAGTGTGCTGGCCAATAATCTCGGACAAGGAGTCTCACCGATAAGAAGTCAAACTAAGCAAATGCTGCAGTGATAGGAGAAAAAAAAACACACACAGAACACATTGAGAGCAAAGAAAGACAAATACACAGGAAAGCTGAAGGAAGAATGCCTAGGTGTCCACAGAGAATCTCCAGAACCCCGAAAAGCTACCAAGATCAACGGCAACTTTTGTTACTAAGGCCCTTTAAGAACTTGGCTAAGAGAGATTAAATTCATGAGTCGGTATTTTAGAAATTTTTGAAGACAAGTTGATAAAAGTTTATAATAATTAAAAAGTTAAATTTCAGTATCAGAAACTTAGCAGGGCCAAAAATCCTTACTTGAACTGAGCAATTGGCTGTCTTCACAATGAATTCAATGCTGCTTCTTATTCAATGTGGAAAACTGGTGAAATTCAAATCCGAATTTTAATCATCTTCTAACCAATTAGCCTCAAAGAAAGGGTATTTGGTTCAAAGTATTAGCTTCAAGGGACTTGAAACATTCAGTGTAAGCAGTAGAGTTTCTGAGAAATCAGTTTTAAAGAGGACTATTTAAGTTGGTTAATATGAATGCTCATGCAACAAATACAATGCCGTTTTTAAAACCATTTTTCAGAAATGGTTACTTTAAAAGAATTTATCTTGCTAAATGTCTTCCTTATTCACTGATGCAGAAATATTTTCTGACTTCTGATTATTTTGTGCAAAATATTATGAAAATAATTATATACAAGTACTAGGAAAACTGGTTTTATATGCACTGATCAACTGTGGTTTCAGCTTGTGCTACTGCTATTCATAATTTAGGAAGTGGTTAGTTTGTTCTTGGGTTTTGAGTATAGAATTATATAATTGTTGACACAAGGGTAACCTCTTCCTCTGATATTTAGATCCTGGTATAATCCTGTATCTACTGGACAAAGCAGTTTCTAAGTGAACACTGGAAATACTTTTGTTTTATTGAATCCACTGCTACAATCTGAAAACATTTATTTTCTGTGCTAGCCAGAATGAATGAAGTTGGTAAGATGTGAGGTTTTCCCTCTAATCAAATACGGAGTGCAGACAGAAAAACTTATGATTCTTAAACAGCTGCCTAGAAAAAATACATTTTTCTGGTTTGACAAAATAGTAACATAGAAAATAAAGAGTTAGGCCTATAATTCTTCACTTGAAAACTCTTTGCCTCTGAGAAGGCACATGATGTACAAATTTGTTTATGAAAATACATAAAATTTTACTTAAGATGATAGACTCAGCTAAACAAAAAATAAGCTGTGTGTACGGGGGCATTCAAAGACTGGGTGTAACTACAAAATATTTTATAAATACCAGCCAGAAGTCTATGAACTTTTCTCAAGATCTGCACGTGTGCACACACATGCACACACACACCAACTAGCACTCATCATCTAGCTGCTTTTATTGAAAATCAGGTCACTTGAGAAGTGGCTGACAAAATCGAGAAACTAAAGAAGCTGAGGATATATAATCTGAAGAAGTAAAGACTTTATGAGACATCACTAAAAATTAGAAAGAATACTGGCCGGGTGCAGTGGCTCACACCTGCAATCCCAGCACTTCGGGAGGCCGAGGCAGGCGGATCATGAGGTCAGGAGATCGAGACCATCCTGGCTAACACGGTGAAACCACATCTCTAATAAAAATACAAAAAAGTTAGCCAGGCATGGTGACGGGTGCCTGTAGTTCCAGATACTCAGGAGGCTGAGGCAGGAGAATGGCGTGAACCCGGGAGGCGGAGCTTGCAGTGAGCCGAGATCATGCCACGGTACTCCAGCCTGGATGACAGAGTGAGTCTCCATCTCAAAAAAAAAAAAAAAAAAAAAAGAAAGAATACTTTGAGGAAACATAGTATCATGGCAAGAACATGGAATTTTAAATCAGAAGACCTGGGCACAGGCCCTGGATTCACCATTTATCATTTTATGAGTGTGATCACTGGCCAATTATTTATTTTCTCTGTATTTTAGTGTATGTATCTGTAAGACAGATAATAACACATAAGCTATCTAATTTAATGGGTTGTTTTGCAGCTCAAATAAAATAATGCACATAATTGTATCTTAAAACATAATAAGCATGCATTATTAGCAATGGTGAAGGTCATAAAATTATTGCAAGTAGCTTCAAAGGAAAGATAAGGACCTGTGAGAGGAAGTTGAAAGAAGAAAGATTTTTGTTTAATACAGGAAAGAACTTTCTGAAAACAATATTAGTTAAAAATGGAATGGACTTAAGAGCTAAGAGACAATGAATTCTTATATTTTATGCCATGGTCACAAAGTCATTTTGTTTGGGAGGAAAGGAGATTGTGAATCAGATGGAAGATAAGCAAAAACAATTTAAAGGTTTCTCCAAATGTTGAAACTTTATGAATTTGGATAGAATAAACATGTTTAAATATTAACAACACAAGACAATCTTCCCCCTAAATTGATCATCAGCAAACAATGTATGTCTATTGCAAATTCTATCCATCCCAATTTTTCTCAACAAAAATATTAACCTCAAGATGTGAACTCCAAAACTTATACCAATTATTTATTGAGATTTTTTCATCCTAATTATTCACTAAACATGTTTGTGCATGTGAAATATTCTGTAACATGAAAGGCACAATACAAATTAGGTACAGCTATTGTGATGCCATACTGAGAACGGGGCAAGCCAATAAATTAAGTTCCTCTGGCACAGGGTAGGAACTTGGATGTTTTTTATTACTCCACATGATCTGAATCTTTTTTCCTGCCTGGCTTTTGCATTTTACATCCTACATTGGCATCAATTTCACATCTTGAAGGTGCCAATGATTCCTCAGGCAAACCACCAGGGATTTTTCCTAGGATCAACATTCATATGGAGCTTAGGGCTGCGGCTCTCTGGCTTTGGGCTTCAGGAATTTGGTTTACCACAATACAATGCAAAGCCTGGCATTTTCCCAGCCAGTACTACTTAATGACCTTGTGCTGCTTGCTGTCACAGGAACATTTGTCTCTGCCACCAGAACACCAAGGAAAGATGGATCTATCATCCATTCATTCACTTAAAATTTTAAGAGTGCTTACTATGTCCTAGGTACCCCACTATAAAGTGAAAATACAAAGGTTAAGACAGGCTCTGATCTCAAGACATTTGGATGAATTGCCATCATTCCTGTAAAAGAGTACAATTATTATTGTTGATATCCAGCTTATCGTGTATTTATTACTAACGTGGAAACTCAGAAATGATTATGTTGAGTCTGACATGCTTTAAAATATCCAAGCTCAGAGAACCTCAAAAATAAATTTTCTTTTAATCAAGCATATAGTAACAACAGCTTTAGGACAGTTTAAAAAAAAAAAGAGGAAATAATGTAAAGAATGCACTGAAATGACCTAATAAAGAAGAATTATTTAAGATAAAGCTTGAATTTCAAAGAACTGATTCACACATTAACTGGGGGAATATCTGCTAAATACAAAGCAGTGCAAACATAGATTTTACATATTTAAATTTTAAAACAAAATTATATGTATTTATTTTGTTTCCTACATGTTAACTATTTAGCTTTAATTATTTAGCATCCCACGTACCACACTGAAATTTCCCTAAGAGTAATAAAATACATTAGTTGTGGTAACCTTACAAAGATGCATTACAAAGACAAATCTTAAAACATATTAAAAACATGTCTTCACTGAGTAATACATATGAGTGTGGTAACAGCAATGTTAACACCTTGCCTAGGATTGGCCTGAAAACCTAATCTCCATTTGGCCATGAACTTTCAAATATATTTCGGGAAAGCCTGGAAACTTTGATATATCTAATGAAATCCTCCCGTTTATTATTCAAAGAGATCAACAGGGATATTTAAAAAGCAATTTCACCATGGTTAACATCTGTAAAAAATTTCTGTCAATCCCAAGGTCCAAGGAAAACGCCTAGGATCTTTGTCTGCTTAAAACAAATGTGACCAGTGAACTGAAATTCTTAATGTTCTAAATTCAAAAGTAGCACACTGAATCTGGTGGGTGAGTGGTTAGGAAAGTGATTAAATAAATACTAATATCTATATAATATACAATTTGGATAAAAGTGTAAAAAATACAGGTTCCACTGGAGGTACAATCCAAATATATGAAGGAAAAGACAACTGTCAATATAATTTATTCATAATATGAATTAAACAAGTAGTGTATTGGTGGGACACTTGAGCCAATTTGGAATTGAGTTAGAATGTAAAAGTCACATTCCACAAAAAATCACAGAGCACATTTTTAAAAACAAAAACAAACGTGTCAAGATCAGAAAACAGAAAAGCAGGGAAACAGGTGTGCATACATGAGCAGATAAATATTTTGAAACTCCAGCATCTCACAAGCAAAATGTTTCAATTGAATGACAAGTTATTTCTACCAAAAATACACTATCTTCAGGCAGAAATGCCATTATCTTCAGGCAGAAATGCCATTAATACACAAAGCAAATACCACTAAAGGCCAATTCCACGTAGTGTGCATAGTTCAGGAAGTCTACAGACCTATCTAAACAATGAATAACTGTGGTTTCCAAAACCTTTAATCTGCATTTCCAATTATAATGCAGAGAACAAATTTCACACACCTGCATTTTATAAGCACTACAATGAGACAGCCATCCATAAGTCATCACTCTTGCCTCTTCTTTTGTTTCCCTGAAAACTTAAAGATTTCCAGAGGGTATGAAGGAAACCCTCACCTTCACCTCCGCATATTGCCATTGGCACCAAACAGTTACAGGGGACAGATGGACTCTGGAGTGTTGAATCAGAAACTACTAATTGAACCTGAAATTCCTGTACTAGAGATTGATGAGTTCTTCAAATAAGGGGGAAGCAAACTCAACCACAGGGCATAACTTCAACAAGCTGTCTATTTTAATATCATAGAATACAAGTAGACATTCAATAAATAGTTCCTATCTTCATTAAACAGTAAAATTCTGAAAAGCTATCATCAAGCACAAATTCTTAAAAGGAGTCAAATGTTGATAGAAGACTTTAAAATCTAGATTTTCTAAAGTCCATTTTAGATGTAGCAGGTTATAATGGAAACTATTTTTAATATCAATTTTGGGGACTATAAGAATTAATCTTTACATATTTTAGTGTTATTATACAATCTTTTCCCAGAAAGGGACGTAAAATGACCAAAGAGCATACTCTTTCATGTACAAATGATACATCTTTTATAATCTAAGACTTTTCAAACTCACGTTGTGACATGTTTAGTGGAGTTGTGAAATCAATTTAGTGCATTGTGACCAGCATTCTTGAGAAAAAAAAACAATTTCATATAGTAAGGTTAAGTACTATTTTATAATACATATGAATTATGTGCATATATATATATATATATATATATATATAAAACACTTTAAAATGTTATATGTGTGTGTATACATGATCACACTTTAAAATTTGTCCTTATAGTGGGGTCTTGGGCAAAAAAATTTTTTAAATACCAATCAGGGGGGCAGTGGCCTGGAATCAGAACATGTCAATAAACCTGACCTTAAAACAAAGGTAACACATACTTGTTGACTACCACATGCTAAACACTGGGCTAAGCATTTCATAGTAATCCTCATGATAATATATGGCAGAAATTTTTGTCATTCACATTTTTGGATTAAAAAAAAAAACTGCCCAGGTTTATATAGGTAGATTCATGGTAGGATGGGAATTCAAGCCAAATGTGAAGCACTCAAGGTTATAAGAACACAACACCCTTGCAGTGAGATTCAGTAAAGGATCTTGGTTAAGGTCAGTAACTGAGGAGCTACTAATACCTTAGTAGCATCCAAGGTCTTAGAAGAGTAAGTACTACTGTTAACATGGATGATATAATTTGTATCATAAAACATTGTCCTATTCCAGCACCTTTGACTGCGCACTATGTGTGGATTATGGCAGCTTGTAAGGAAAATAAACCTGAGATAACTTTAAACCGTGTTTCTTCAGCTTGATCTTTTCATAGCCCTGGCGTTGCTGACACACTGGGAAAGCTGAAGCAGCTTAGCTGCTTACAGCTTACACATTCAACCATCTTTCTCCTTAAATCAGGACATGCTCTATATTGGAAGAGCATGGTATATATTAGAAAATAGAATGTGTGATTTTAACTAAGGAGTTGTTTTAACTTACAGAAGAATTTAAAAACAAAAAAGTTTGCCTCTTTCCTAAAGAAGCATTAGAGTAGGGAAATCTGGACAAAATTTTGAAATATTAGCTTTCAAAGTAACACAAACCAAGAAGTAGCTTAAGATAGGGAAGCATTTAAGAAGAGAAAGAAAAATAAGAATGAAAGAGAAGAAGGAAGAAAAAAGAAGGGAGGGAGGAAGGAAGACAGGAAGAAAAGGAAACTCTGCTTTTCCTTTACTTTGGTGAGTAATATTTTTTACAAGACCTTTTGCTTTTTATTAATAAGATAAAAATATCTATTTATATACCTTCATCTGGAATTCTATTAAAGGGTATCATTCTAGTAGAACACTCACTCCTTCAAACTCAAAGAAGCCTGCAACTACATAGAAAAATAGCTTGAAAACTAGTGAAGCTAATTATAGAAAAAAATCATGGAAGAGAACAAAAATATATTAAATATCAACATTTTGTCAAGCATATTACTAGCTACTTGGATATATATATACCAAGACACGTTACCAATCACCTCTCTATTGACCGCATGCATTTAATTTACGATTTTCCAATGACATATCATGCAGTATCAAGATGGAAACAGAACAAAGGACAAAGGACAGCAGCTATTGCCATCGCTGACCTGGTTTAACCACTTCTCCTATGCATGTGAAGCATACTGACTGTTGACACTGACAACTCACTGAACACTACTGCTTACTGGCATCCTTTCTGTTTCCAGCAGTTAAATCTTACACTTACCAAGAGACACTTGTATTTGTTCCCAAAAGTATTTATATCACTAGCACCTGTTGTTTTAATTACTAAGTTATTCAAATATTATGTAACCCAATTAAATATGAGTTATTGCTTCTTTGAAAATTTAGACGAATGCCTTGGAAGGACTCCATATAAAATGAGTTACTATAAAAAACTGCTGTTAAGTCAGGTATGAGAGAGATAACTGTGAAATACAGGAAGGAAAGCCTCATAAAATCATGGAGGATTTCTGAGCTTAGATTGCATTAAAAGGTATCTTTAAGTTTTCAATTTAACTCAAAGAAAACCAAACTGAAAGTCATAATTGAGGCATTGTGGCTATAATTTTTGGAAGAAATACAACACAACTCCAGTTGGCAAATCCCTGTTTAAAAAAAAAGTACAGGCCCTAAATGATGAGTGGTAAAATTAAAATTAAATGTTTACCAATATGTACATAATTTTTATGATTCTCCACCTGAACTACTCAAGTTAACTAATGGTCCAGCTACAAACCCCAAATATGTTCATGAGCAGACTTCCAATGAATTCTAAAATTAAGAAATACTTTGAAAATATCATGTGTTAATGTGGACTGCTTTGAAAACAGTTTAACTTTTACATATTGTATAGTTAAATTTAATATGTAAAACTACCATATAAGATACCTGTTGGAACCAAATTACATAAATTTTGCATGGGAGAGATTTAGCTGCACTACAGTCATCAATCTTTTCTAGAAAAATGAAGGGCTTTTAAAGCAATCAGTTCTGAATCTTGACATCAGTTTAAAGCTGTAGATTATATCTTGAGCTCTTAGTATCCTAAAACTTCATTAATCTCTGTCGTGGAGGCAGCAGAGCCTCATTCATGGATTTATTTATAGTGACTATTTATGTTTCACACGTTTACTCTGAATCCCACATCAAGAGGAGTGATTTGTGGTATTATTTTTGACTTTGTAATCTTTAATCTATGATAGATGTTGTGCTCCAAGCTGCAATGATGGTTCTGCACCACACTGCAGAGTTTTAGATAAAGATTATAAAATCACCTACTTCAGAAAAAAAGTTTTCCTCCTTACCCAAGTTAATATTCTAAAGCCATTTAGTGATACAAAATTATACCCTCCTTCTTGATACTCTTGATTGAGCCATTTTTAAAACTATGCACTAATCAAACATTTTTTAACTTATAAATGATATCTTTTTATATAATATTTTTATTTAGTACCCCCATAGTGTTTTATATTTTTATTTATTCATAATTTCCTATTGAGTTTGGTGAATTGTACCAAGTATCAATGTCTGTTTCCAGGTTGTGGTATACTATTATATATTCATGCAAGATGTTATCCTTGGGGAAAATTAGGCGGACAGTATACAGGACCACTTTGTATTTTTTTTTTTTTTTTTTTTTTTTTACAAAAGGTGTCAATTTACAATTATCTCAAAATAAAACTTAAGTAAGTTCTTTTCAAGCAATATTGGTTGGGAGGCATTGTGCTGTAGTTGAAATTATGGATTTCACTATAATTTTTCCCATTTATTTTCTCTGAACCTCAGCCAAGCTGTATTCTCTGAGTGTACTTCCTTTTAGGCAAAATGGTGATGATTTAGCATAGAGTTACTGAAAAGAATAAATGAGATGACTTACAGCAGGAACCCAATATAATAGTAAGTATTCGAGAAATGATGCATACTATCATTATTACTATGGATAGGCTGTTGGTTTTTTAAATCAACTTAATATAAACTTATAGAAAATTACATATAACTCTAAGTCAAATGAATGCTTACTTTAAGCAAAGTCACAATTTGCTACAACCTTGCAAGACAAAGAAGAAAGTATTAAAAGAAAAATGCCAGGTGTGGTGGCTCACGCCTGTAATCCCAGCACTTTGAGAGGCCGAGCAGAGCGGATCATGAGGTGAGGAGATTGAGACCATCTTGGCTAACACGGTGAAACCCCATCTCTACTAAAAATACGAAAAGATTAGCTAGGAGTGGTGGCGGCTGCCTGTAGTCCCAGCTACTTGGGAGGCTGAGGCAGGAGAATGGCATGAACCTGGGAGGCAGAGCTTACAGTGAGCAGAGATCGCGCCACTGCACTCCACCCTGTGCGACAGAGCGACAATCAGTCTAAAAAAAAAAAAGAAAAAAAAAAGAAAAACTTCAGACAATTAAATTTAACAGAGCTTAATTGAGCAAAAAAATACTTGTGAATTAAGGAGCACACTCACCCCTCGCCCACACCCCACTTCAACCAGAATAGGTTCAGAGCAACTCCAGCACTGTCAGGTGATCTGACAGAATTTAAAGACAGAAAAAGGAAAGTGATACGCAAAAAACAGAAGTGAGGTACAGAAACAGCTGGATTGGTCACAGCTCTGCATTTGAACATGGTTTAAAGTTCCAGGGATGTCAAATCTTTTGGCTTCCCTGTCCCACACTGGAAGAAGAAGAACTTTCTTGGGCCACACATTAAATACAATAAACACCAACGATAGCTGATGAGCTACAATAATGAAATAAAGTAAAATCACAAAAATAAAATCTCATAATGTTTTAAGGAAGTTTCCAAGTTTGTGTTAGACGGCATTGAAAGCCGTCCTGGGCCACATGGGGCCCGCGAGCCATGGGTTGGACAAGCTTGGAGTTGGTCACCTGCGAGCGGTTGAAGTACGGCTGCTGTGATTGGCTGAGACTGGGCTACTCCTTACAAGAGTAGATTACAGTCTGTTTACACATCTAGTTAGGTTACAGTTCATTATGTAAGAAGAAACCTTTAGACCGACATTAAAATACTTGAGGAGACCAGGCGCGGTGCCTCACGCCAGTAATTCTAGCATTTAGGGAGGCCCAGGTGGGTGGATCACTTGAGGTCAGGAATTCGAGACCAGCCCGGCCAACATGGTAAAACCCTGTCTCTACCAAAAATACAAAAAA
Source organism: Homo sapiens (assembly GCF_000001405.40). NCBI lineage: Eukaryota > Metazoa > Chordata > Mammalia > Primates > Hominidae > Homo > Homo sapiens. The sequence continues at coordinate 156,798,042 of NC_000004.12, forward strand.
ATTAGCCAGGCATGGTGGCGGGCGCCTGTAATCCCGGCTACTCGGGAGGCTGAGGCAGGAGAATCACTTGAACACGGGAGGCGAAGGTTGCAGTGAGCCGAGATTGCAACACTGCACTCCAGCTTGGGCGACAGAGCGAGACTCCGTCACAAAAACAAAACAAAACAAAACAAAAACAAAACAACAACAACAAAAACCTTAAAGAGGCAGCTTTAGGCTAAACCTCATTTAAGAGAAGTAAAAATCAGATGCAAAGGGCATCACAACAGCAAGGTCTAAGATCACACCAAAAGCCTCTATGACCTTTCAGAGAGTTAAAATCTGCAAATTGCTCAGTGACATGAAATTATGCCATTGCTCTTAATGCCAAATAAAGACTGTAGCAAGGTAGAGGAAACAGTGAATGGCAAGTGAACCTCTTTTACGTAATTGGGAATCCTATTAGAATTCCCCTGACTTTAACACAAAACAAAACACTGTAGGCCTGGGTAGAAGTGAGAGTTCTTCATATTACTTTTATCAGTAATAGGATTAGGATACCACAAAACATCACTCATCATATTCCAAAAAGAAAGGAAAATATTGGTGTCAGAAAGCTTGAGATGGCTTCTCAAGAATCTCATCCAAAGGATGTGTCATATATTTTAATACCTCCTCACTCAGGTATTGAAAGTCAAGTTTTGGCATGCAGTGTTTCTCTGTCTCTCTAACAATTCAGTGCTTGCATATTTCTTTCTCTAAAAAAACTAATTACACTTAATGCTATTTCATTAACTTGTACCCAGCAGAAAAGTGCCCTTTTAAAATTCAACTCTATCAGAATGTTATTCCACTGGAAAAAAAGGCACTTCCTCTTTAGCAATGCTACACAAATTTAAAAACCCAATTTCAGAGGAGGTATTGGAAGCTGCCTGGGCTGATTTGGAGCCTCCTACGTTTATGTCCAATGCCTACCTCAGATTTTATGTTAGAGTCTTAGATAATTGCTACCTCAATGTCTTTCCTATTATTTTCCCATAAAACAAAATTTTTAGTATAAACTTTAGCTTTCTTAAGCAATCTGCCTTGGAAGAACCTAAGATAATTCATGTACTCCTTTAAAGCAAGAGATGACAGCCTTGATCTCTTGCCTGAATAATTACTTGTGGTGAAGAAGCACAAGGAAAGGCATCAGCCAGGTATTTCCATAATGGCTTTTATTCACACTTACACAAAACCTGACTTAACTAGAGTGGTAACATCTATGCAGACACAGGACCTTTGCCCTGGGGCCAAGACACAAAGACATCTTGGAAATTCCCCCCTCAGTTTTCTGAGGCCTTTGGTGGCCTACATGTGGTCACATTGCAAAAAGCCGAAAAAAAAATTGTATTAGTCCTTAGATTTGTGTTTTCTCCTCCAAACTTACTGTAGGAGTGCCTATATTTCAAATACTGTGCACAGATTGCATAATTTCAAACTAAAAATGCTCTGAGTCTTTTGCATACCAGAGTGACACATTCTGAGGTGTTTAATAGAAGACAGCCTATTCACTAGAAATACTTGCTTTCCAATTTTATTCTCCTATTTCTTAGCTAAATTTTAGCCTTACAAGGTTCTATAAGAATACAGTTCTGAAAAATTTGGCACTGACAAGATTGCTAAGATACATCATGGAACTGGGTAATTTTGCTAATATTGATGAAATATGACTGATAAGAAAAATATTGACTGCATTCATATTTTTACTTTTTCTTAGACTCCAGGTGACATTTTTTTAAAAAAGCTTCTTGTTTGGATTTGAATTTTATAGATTACCGTGTGGAGACACTACAGTTTAACCCTCAATATTTATCACCATTGTCACTACTAAAAAAAATTGGTAAATTCTAATTAGTTCACCATTTTTTCAAAGTTACCAAAGTATCCATGACATCATAATCAACAGGAATAGCATACAGGTGTTTTAATAGGAAAACAAAAATGGTCAGAAGAGATCTTAAATTTTTGTTTCTTTCTCAATGATCTTTCTCCTATTTTCCAAACCAGTCAAGAGGCAGTCTGATTTTAAAGAGAACTCTCTTCACTCTATATATGTTGAGTTTTAATCTACAAAATGGTAGTAATATTTCAATATGGGGATTAAAT